>NC_000004.12:82254714-82406229 GCF_000001405.40 Homo sapiens
CCAGGCTGGAGTGCAATGGCATGATCACGGCTCATTACAGCCTCGACCTCCCAGACTCAATCAATCCTCCTGCCTCGGCCTCCTAAGTAGCTGGGACTACAGGTGTGCACCACCATGCCTGGCTAATTTCTGTATTTTCTTTTTTGTAGAGACAGGGTTTTGCCATATTGCCCAGACTGATCGTGAACTCCCGGCACAATTTGAGTAGGAAGGACTTACATAACATTGTAAGAGTAGTGTTATATACAAGAACTTTTCTAATTTTAATAGGAGAAAGAAAAGATTAAATGGTGCTAAGGAATACCCAAATTAAGACAATCTCTAAAATCTGTATTTCTGAGCACCGAACTCTAACCAGTAAGCAAGTAGCTGCATTTGATGTGTTGGGAAATAGAATTATCACTACTCCTTAAAAAAAATTAAAAACATTTAAAACTTATTATATAAACACACCTACCCTGGATTATACTATCTTTTATACTTTAATAAAAGTAATAATGCTGATTAGAATACCTATTTAAAACATGTGCTGCATTTTTCTCCTGGCTAAGAATTCATAACATTCTATTTCTCTTGTACTTGGCTCATTACTCTTCACACTACTTCCTGAAAACAATTCTACCACCAAGTGGACAATACAAAAATTAGCTTACATGATGTTCAACTTTCTCCATTTCTATTCTCCAACTTCACAGGTTAGCAAAGCGTTCTTGATTTGGCCTAGTTAATAGAGCCCCAGCAAGACTCACTATTTGAAGACTGATAGCCTCAAAAGATAAGCCAGATTTAAAAATCATTTTCCAGTACCATTTAAACCATGGTATCTAACACTGCTGATAAAGATGTGTAACAGTAGATAAATATTTCCTCCATGGACACCAATGACTAGAATACAACACTGAAGCAGTTTTCTGACATATGAACTCACGGCATGTGTTAATTCACAGCCACAGACCTTGGATAATGAAAGCCACATGATGTTCACTGCTTTTATCTTGGGTTTTTAAAATTCTACACCTAATTCAAAAACAGAAACAAGCAACATTACAGAGAATAACACAGTGAGAACACCAGTGCCCTTCCACTATGGAGAGTGTGTTTGCCCCACCCCTTGACTCTAGCTCAGTCACATAATTTATTTTGGCCAATAGGATGTTAGCAGACATGACATCAGCACACACTTGGAAAGAGCTTGCTGATTGAGCTTATTTGGTCTTGCATCTCTGTTATCACCATGAGAACATGCCCTGCATAGTCTTCTGGAGGACGACAGGCACATGGAACAAAACTATGCTGCCCCAGTAGCCCCAGCCAACAGCCAACTGACCCCCACATATGTAGGCAAACCCAGGCAAGATCAGATGAGCTGCTTAATTGACCCTCCACTGAACTCAGGCACTTGAGCAATAAACTTATTTTTTATGCACTAAGGCTTTCTGATTGTTTGTTATGCGGTATCACTGTGGCAACAGATAGCTGATACAAGGTTAGATACAATGTTTCATTGGTGAAATGAGTGATGTTCTTAATGTGTAGTTAGCTTAATAAATTGTGCAGTCACTTCTGCCCTTTGATGTAAGAATCAGCCAAGACTAGCAGCTTAACATCTTTAGAATTGACTCTAGAAATAGAAGTGCATTCAATGCTATGATTCCCCCTACCTACATCAAAACAAAGAATTTGATTGCCTCACCCAACTGGAAGGCTAGCTGATCCTGCTGCTTTCACAATATTTTTGCATTGGCCTTAGATTGAATCTTTCATGCAAGCATCTTGCTCAGAAACCTGAAAGGAGAGAGAATGAGGACTTCACTGTGCTTATATGAACTGGCTATATAATTGTTTTTGTGCTTGCGGAACAATAGATCCTTGTACCTGAGGCAAAATTTGATTCAAAGCTTGCTTTTATCAAAAAATAGCTCTAGGTAGCAAGGTTGTAGCAAAGGAGATACAGCTTCCACCCACCTCTAATGATCACAGGTACCAACATTTACTGAGAGAATCTGTCTGTTGACAATAGCCAGATTGGCTTATGTCAGTTTGCAAAACAGAATAATTCCACATCTGGCACAACAGGAATTATATCTTATTAATGGTAGGACCTTGCAAATGCTGAATTTGTTGAAATAGAGTTTATTGAATCCATATGAACTGCTTTAATTTTAAAGATAAGGAAGTGAAACCTAAGAAGGTTAAGGGAAATTCTCAAACTCACATCAGAAACTTAGTAGCAGATTTAGGTCTCAAATCCAGTTTCCCAAGTACATAAATAGTTATTTGGCCAGGTGCGGTGGCTTGCACCTGTAATCCCAGCACTTTGGGAGGCTGAAGCGTGAGGATTGCTGGAGGCCAGGAGTTCAAGACTAGCCTGGACAACATAGCTAGATCCCATCTCTACTAAAAATTTAAAAATTAGCCAGGTGTGGTGATACACGCCTATAGTCCCAGCTATTTAGGAAGCTGAGGTGGGAGGATCGTTTGAGCCCAGGAGTTCAAGGCTGCAGTGAACTATGATCACATCATTGCACTCCAGCCTAAGCAATAGAATGAGACCATATCTCTAAAGATAATAATAATAATTCTTATTTTTCTTATTTGACTTCCTATTAGTTACTTTTTCACTCAATTTTGTTGGTCTTTTCTAAGAACCAGCATTTAGTTTTGTTGATTTTTTTTTTTTTTTTTTTTTGAGATGGAGTCTTGCTCTGTCACCAGGCTGGAGTGCAGTGCCGCAATCTTGGCTCAACGCAACCTGTGCCTACCAGGTCCAAACTATTCCCCTCCCTCAGCCTCCCAAGTAGCTGGGACTACAGGTGTGCACAACCATGCCCGGCTAATTTTTTTTTTTTTTGTATTCTAGTAGAGATGGGGTTTCACATCATGTTGGCCAGGATGGTCTCAATCTCCTGACCTTGTGATCCACCCGCCTCAGCCTCCCAAAGTGCTGGGATTACAGGTGTGAGCCACTGCACCTGGGCTTTGTTGATTTTCTTTACTGTTTTTCTATTCTCTATTTCATTATTGCCAGTCTAATTTTTTTCTTTCTGTTTATGTTGGGTTTCATTTGTTCTTTTCCTTTTTTTGGAAACAGAGTCTCACTCTGTCACCCAGGCTGGAGTGCAGTGGTATGATCTTGGCTCTCTGCAACCTCCGCCTCCCTCCTAGGTTCAAGCAATTCTCCTGCCTCAGCCTCCCAAGGAGCTGAGATTACAGGTACGTGCCACCACACTTGGCTAATTTTTGTATTTTTAGTTGAGAAGGGGTTTTACCATGTTGGCCAGGCTGGTCTGGAACTCCTGACCTCAAGTAATCCACCCACCTCAGCCTCCGAAAGTGCTGGGATTACACGTGTGAGCCACCACACCCGGCTTTGTTCTTCTTTTTCTACTTTAAGATGGAAGATGAGATTGTAGATTTGATATCTTAAAAAAAAAAAACAGCTTTACTGAGCTATAACTTACATACCATACAATTCACCCATTTAGAGTATACAACTCAATGATTTTTAGTTCAAAGATTTAATTCACAGATATGTGCAACCATCGCCAATTTTAGAACAGTTCATCACCTCAAAAAAGGTGATATGTCTTTTAGTTATAACCCTCCCTCTGGGCTGCTATCTCTCCTGCAGCCCAAAGCAAACACTATTCTGCCTTCTGTCTTCATCTATTTCCCTATTCTGGACTTTCTTATAAATAGAATCATGTAATACATAGACTTTTGTGTCTGGCTTCTTTCACTTAGTGTATTTTCAAGGTTTACCCAAGTTGTAGCATTTATCTGTACCTTATTTCTTTTTATGGTTTAAAAATGTTCCATTATAGTATGCATCACATTTTATTTATACATTTGTCAGCTGATAGACATTTGGGTTGTTTCTATCTTTCAGCTACTATGAATAATGCTGCTATAAAAATTCACATATGGGCCGGGCGCGGTGGCTCACGCCTGTAATCCCAGCACTTTGGGAGGCCGAGGCGGGCGGATCACGAGGTCAGGAGATCGAGACCCCGTCTCTACTAAAAATACAAAAAATTAGCCGGGCGTGGTAGCGGGCGCCTGTAGTCCCAGCTACTCGGGAGGCTGAGGCAGGAGAATGGCGTGAACCCGGGAGGCGGAGCTTGCAGTGAGCCGAGATCGCGCCACTGCACTCCAGCCTGGGCGACAGAGCGAGACTCCGTCTCAAAAAAAAAAAAAAAAAAAAAAAAAAAAAAAAAAAAAAAAAAAATTCACATACAAGAACACACAATCTTAAAATTTATATGGAACCACCAAGGACCCTGAATAGCCAAAGCACTCCTAAGCAAAAAGAACAAAGCTGGAGGCATCATACTACCTGACTTCAAGATATGCTACAAAGCTATAATAATCAAAATGGCATGGTACTGGCATAAAAACAGACACATAGACCAATGGAATAGAACAGAGAGCCCAGAAATAAATCCAAATATTTACAGCCAACTGATTTTCAACAAAAGCACCAAGAACATACATTGGGGAAAGAATAGTCTCTTTAACAAATAGTGCTGAGAAAACTAGATATCCAGATGCAGAGGAACGAAACCAAACCCCTATCTCTCACCATATACAAAAAGCAACTCAAAATGGATTAAAGACTTTAATGTAAGATCAAAACTAAGAAACTACCAGAAGATAACAGGGAAAATGCTTCAGGACCTTCATCTGGGCAAAGATTTTATGGATAAGACCTCAAAAGCACAGACAACAAAAGCAAAAACAGATAAATGAAATTCTGTCAAACTAAAAAGCTTCTGCACAGAAAAGGAAACCATCAACAGAATGAACAGACCACCTGCAGAATGGGAGAAAATATTTGCAAACTATTTATCCAACAAAGGATTAATATGCAGAATATACAAGGAATTCAAACAACTCAACATAATAATAATAATAATCTGATTTTTAAAGGAACTGAACATTTCTCAAAAGAAGACATACAAATGGTCAAGAAGTATATGAAAAAATGCTCAACATCACTTACCAGGGAAATGCAAATCAAAACCGCAGTGAGATATCATCTCACCCTAGTTAGAATGGCAATTATCAAAAAGACAAAAAATAGCAAATGTCAGAAAGGATATGGAGAAAAGGGAGTTCTTACACCCTGTTGGTGGGAACATAAATCAGTATAGCTGTGATTACGTTAGTAAGTGAAATAAACCAGGCAAAAAAGATAAGTAACACATATTGTCACTCATATGGAATCTTAATTTTTTATTTTTTTTATTTTTCCTCATTTCCAATGGGGTTGGATGGAATCTTTAAAAAGTTCATATAGAAATAAGGAGTACAGTAGTGATTACTCAAGGCTGTAAATGTGGGAAGAGAGGGGAATAAGGAGAGATTGGTTAATGAATACAAAAGTATGGCAACATAGGAGGAATAAGTTTTAGTGTCCTATAGCACTATAGGGTGACTATAGTTCACAATATTTTATTGTTTATTTTAAAATAACTAGAAGAGAGGATTTTGAATGTTTCCAACACAAAGAAATAATAAATGTTTGAGGTGATGGATATGCTAATTACCCTGATTTGATCATTGCACATATATTGTATACATGTATTGAAATCTCACACTGTACCCCATAAATATGTACAATTATTATGTGTCAACTAAAAATAATGTAAAATTTTATGTACAAGTTTTTATGTGGATATGTGTTTTCATTTCTCTTGGATGGAACTCCTGGGTCACATGGTAACTCTATGTTTAATCATCTGAGGAACTGCCAGCAGCTGCACCATTTTACATTCCCAATAGCAGTGTATAAAGGTTCTGATTTCTCCACAACCTCAGTGATACTTGTTATTATCTGGCTTTTCGATTCAAGCCATCCTACTGGGTTTAAAGTGATATCTCAGAAAGATTTTGATTTGCATTTCTCTGATAACTAATAATGCTGAGCATCTTTTCATGTGTTTATTGGACATTTGTATATCTTCTTTGGAGAGATGACTATTTAGGTCCCATTTCTTAATTGAGTTACTTGTCTTTTATTACTGAGTTGTAAGAGTTCTTTATATATTCTAGGTACAAGTCCCTTATCAGATATATGATTTGCAAATATTTTCTCCCTTTCTGTGGGCTGCCTTTCACTTCCTTGTTGGTGTCCTTTGAAGCACAAACATTTTTAATTTTGATTAAGTCCAATTTATCTGTCTTTCCCTTTGTTACTTATGCTTTTGGTATCATATCTAAGACTGCTTTGCCAAATCCAAGGTCATGAAGATTTACCTACTGGCTGTGTTTTCTTCTAAGAGTCTTATAGTTGTAGCTATTACATTTAGGTCTTTCATCTATTTTGAGTTAGTTTTTTATACAGTGTAAACTTCATTCTTTTGTTTGTAACTATCCAGGTGTCCCAGCAACATTTGTTGGAGGGACTATTCTTTCCCCAGTGGATGGTTATGGCACCCTTGTCAAAAATCAGTGGACCATAAATGTAGGACCGATGTCTGTACTGTCGGTTCTACTCCATTAATCTACATGTCTATTCTTATGCCAGTACCATGCTGTCTTGATAACCATTGCTTTGTAGTAGGTTTTGAAATTGGGAAGTGTGAGCTATTGTACTTTGTTCCTCCTTTTCATGATTGTTTTGGCTATTAATATCTCTTGACATATGTTAGAATCAGCTTGACAGTTTCTATAAAGAAGTCAACTGGGATTCTAATAGGAATTGTATCATATCTGTAGATTAATTGGAGGCATACTGTCATCTTAACAATGTTTAGTCTTCCAATCCATAAACATAGGATTTCTTCTATTTAGACCTTCTTTAATTCCTTTCAAACATATTTTCTAGTTTTCAGACTATAAGGTTTGTACTTCTTTTGTTAAATCTATTCCTATTCTTTTAATTATTTTTGATAACATCATAAATGGAATTTTTTTAATTTTATTTTTTGATTGCTCATTGCAAGTGTCTAAAACTATAATTAATCTTTGTATATTGACCTTTGTGTGTTGATCTTGTATCCTGCAATCTTGCTGAAATAGTTTGCTAGTTCTAACAGATTTTTAGTGGATTCTTTAGGATTTTCTACTAAATCTAAAGAGTTATTGATTGACTGTTTAATTGACAGAATTTGAATTTAGAATTTATATTTCTATAAATTCCCTCTAAGTACTATTTTAGCTGCATCCTATATTTTGGCAGGTTTTCATGGTCGTGTTTTCATTTTTATTCATTTCCAAGTGTGACTGAATTTCTCTTGTGATTTCTTCTTTGACTTCTCGGTTATTTTGGAGTATGTTGTTTAATTTTCACATATGTTGAATTTCCAGAAATTCCTTCTGCTACTGATTTCAAATGTCATTGAACTGTGGTTGGATAACATATTTTGTAATAATTTCAATCCCTTTAAACTTACTGAGGCTTCTTTTGTAGCCTAATATATGGTCTACCTGGGAGGATATTCATTCTATGGGTACATGAGAATATTGTGCATTCTGCTGTTGGAGTGTCCTATGGTTATCTATTAGGCATCATTGCTTTATAGTGTTAAGTCTTCTATTTCCTTGTTTACTTTTTTGCCTAGTTGTTCTCTCCCCTTCTGAAAGTGGAGTCCCAACTATTGTTTTTTAATTTTCTATTTTTTTTATTCAACTCTGAGTTTTTAGTTTGCGTAATGTGGGACTCTGTTGTTAGGTGCATATATGTTTATAAATTTGTCTTCCTGATGGATTGACCTTTTAAGCATGACAAAATGTCTTTCTTTGTCTCTAGTGACATTTTTTGTCTTAAAATCTATTTGTCTCATATTGGTATAGCTACTCCATCTCTTTGGTTACTATTTGCATGGCATATCTTTATCCAACCTTTACTTTCAATTTACTTGTGTCTTTGAATCTAAAGTGAGTCTTTTGTAGATGGCATACAGTTGGATCTTTTTTTTATTCATGCTGCCAATCTCTGCTTTCAAACAGAGAGCATAACCCATTTATATTTAATTTAATTACTGATAAGGTAGGATATATGTCTGCCATTTTGCTATCTGTTTTCTACCTGTCTTTTTTGTTCCTCAAGTCCCCCAATATTGCCTTCTTTGGTGTTAAATACATATTTTTTCATGTACCATTTTAATTCCCTTGTCAATTCTTTTATTATATATTTTTGAGTTATTTTCTTATTGGCTGCCCTGGGAGTTACCATTAACATCTCAGTTTATAACGATCTAGTTCTGATTAATATCAACTTAATTTCAATTATATATATATATTAAAAAAATTGTTTTTTGAGATGGAGTCTTGCTTTGTCACCCAGGCTGGAGTGCAGTGGTGCAATCTCGGCTCACTACAACCTCTGCCTCCCAGGCTCAAGCAATTCTCCTGCCTCAGCCTCCCAAGTAGCTGGGACTACAGGGAAGTGCCATCACACCCAGCTTATTTTTGTATTTTTAGTAGAGGCGGGTTTTCACCATGTTGGTCAGGCTGGTCTCAAACTCCTGACCTCAAATGATCCACAGACCTTGGCCTCCCAAAGTGCTGGAATTACAGGCATGAGCCACCGTGCCCAGCCCAATGGTATATTTTTTTAAATGCTCTAAATAGTTCAACTCCTCTATGCTATTATTATTATGTGCTCATCAATACAGATTTATAGTTATTGCCCCATGCAATTGCCTTCTAAGTCAGATATGAGAAAAAAAGATAAATAATAAACAACAAATACATTTATATGCCTTTAATATTTACCTACATGATTACTTTACTTGTGTTATTTCTCCATATAGGTTTGAGTTACTGTATAGAGTTCTTTCGATTCAACCTAAAGGACTCTTTCTTAGTTCCAGCTGCTATAACAAAAATACCATAGCCTAGGTAGCTTAAACAACAAACGTGTTTTTCTCACAGTTCTGGGAGCTGGGAAGACCAAAGCACCAGCAGATCCAGTGTCTGGCAAGGGGCTCTTCCTGGTTTGTAGACCACCACCTACTCATTGTACCCTAACACAGTGGAGAGGGAAGAAGTAAATTATCTTATGTCTCTTCTTATAAGAGCATTTTAATCTCAGCATGAGGGCACCAACCTCATGACCTGCTCACCTCCCAAAGGCCTATCTCCAAATACCATAATATTGGGGAATAAGGTTTCAACATATGAATTTTGTGGGGACACAGATATTCAATCCATAGCATTTTACTCCAGGCCCCTCAAAATTCATGTCCTTCTCATATGCCAAATACATTCATTCTATTTCAACAGCCCCCAAAATCGTAACTCATTCCAGCATCAACTCTAAAGTCTAAGGTCCAATGTCTCACTTAAATATTTAAATCAGGCCAGGTGCAGTGGCTTATGCCTGTAATCTCAGCACTTTGGGAGACTGAGGCAGGAGGATCCCTTGAGCCCAGGAGTTTGAGACCAGCCTGGGCAACACAGCAAAACCCCATCTCTACAAAAAATACAAAAATTAGCCATGCGTAGTGACACATGCCTATAGTCCCAGCTATTCAGGAGGCTGAGACAGGAGGATCGATTGAGCCCAGGAAGTCAAGGCTCCAGTAAGCCGTGATCATGCAACTGCACTCCAGCCTGGGTGACAGAGTGAGACTGTCTCAAAAAAAAAAAAAAAAAAAAAAAAAAATTTAAATCAGATGTGGGTGAGACAAGTGACAAGTCTTCCTGATGCAAAATTCCTCTCCAGCTATGAACCTGTAAAACTAAAAAAGTTATGCACTTCAAAAATACAATGGTAGGACAGGCATAGGAAAGACATTCCCATACCAAAAGGGAAAAATAGGATATAAGAAAGAGTAATGGATCCCAAGTAAGTTCAAAACTTAGTAAAGCACACTCATTTTTTGTTGAAAACTGGACATTTAAAATAATATAATGTTGGCCAGGCACAGTGGCTCATGCCTGTAATCCCAGCACTTTGGGAGGCCAAGGGGGGCAGATCACCTGAGGTCAGGAGTTCAAGACCAGCCTGGCCAACATGGTGAAACCCCATCTCTACAAAAATACAAAAACTAGCTGGGCATAATGGCGGGTGCCTGTGATCCCAGCTACTCAGGAGGCTGAGGCAGAAGAATCGCTTGAACCCGGGAGATGGAGGTTGCAGTGAGCCAAGATCGCGCCATTGCACTCCAGCCTGGGCAACAGAGTGAGACTATATTTCAAAAAAAAAACACATTAAAAATAAAAAAATATAATAATATAATGTTACAACTCTTACAATCAGATCCCTCCCTCCTCATCTACAGGAATTGTTGTTGTTTGTTTTAGTGACTATTCAGAACTAATTCTGTAAAGTCTGTATTCATTGCCATGTTCCTGTCTCTACTTGGTTAACTTTTGACAAGCTAATGATTAAACAGAGATTTCCTTACATCTGGAACCAATACATCTCCCAGAGTTTTCTGAGTGACTTTGTATGGGTACTAGTGCACACCTTTAAAACTAGAAAATCTTACAACTCCACCTTAGCCTTCACTTCCTGCTTGTACAGAATCTCAAGATAAACCAGAGTTGAGAGCTTAGCTTAGAGTCTTCTCAATTCTTTTCTAAGCGTGCTTACAGCCCTTTCATGTAAATGACCTTCCAGATACCAGGAATATATTAAAGCTTTGCAAAGCCCCTATGCATATTTCATTCTCCAGTTAGTCCTTTTAAGCTTTTTGTTAGTCTATTTTGCCCCAGTTATTGTCCATCACCTCAGGCAACTTTGTAGGCAAAGTTAAAACACTTGCCTACAATTGTCTTTTACAATGCCCCCTAGGACAGAAAGGGACTTAACACTGAGTGAGTTCTCAGTCAGCCTTATAGGTGGGGTCTTCTAGGGAACCATCAGACAAGTTGGATGACAATTCTTAGAGCACAAGGCTTGGAAAGAGTTATAGACCCACTCTGGTGGCTGCCCCCAAAAATATGGGTTGTTACTTTTTAAGGCTATTGCATAGCTGGAAAGTAGAAGGTGGGACTAGGGTTAGTTCAACCACTGTGGAAGACAGTGTGGCAATTCCTCAAGGATCTAGAACTGGAAATACCATTTGACCCAGCAATCCCATTACTGGGTATATACCCAAAGGATTATAAATCATGCTGCTATAAAGACACATGCACATGTATGTTTATTGTGGCATTATTCACAATAGCAAAGACTTGGAACCAACCCAAATGGATTAAGAAAATGTGGCACATAAACACCACGGAATACTATGCAGCCATAAAAAATGATGAGTTCATGTCCTTTGTAGGGACAGGGATGAAGTTGGAAACCATCATTCTGAGCAAACTATTGCAAGGACAGAAAAACAAACACCGCATGTTCTCACTCATAGGTGGGAATTGAACAATGAGAACACTTGGACACAGGGTAGGGAACATCACACACCAGAGCCTGTTGTGGGGTGGAGGAAGTGGGGAGGGATAGCATTAGGAGATATACCTAATGTAAATGATGAGTTAATGGGTGCAGCACACCAACATAGCACATGTATACATATGTAACAAACCTGCACGTTGTGCACATGTGCCCTAGAACTTAAAGTATAATAAAAAAAAATGCCACAGACTTCACTGTTCTTACTGAGATGCAGCCATTTTTCTTAAATAAATGTTCCCTGGTTTGCTACAAGCTGTTAGTTAATTTCTGGAGTTCTGAAAATGTTAATTCTGAATAATTTTGCCAGTTTTTTCATTTCTCTTATGGAAGGGAAAATTTTGAGAGGTCCTTACTCAGCCATTTTTGCTGACATTCTCCCACAATGTTTTTTAAGACAAAAATAATCCAAATCGTGGCTAAGTACAAAAGCACTAGTAGCTAGATATCAGCATCATGGAAATGGAGGGCTACAGGTTGCGAAATAATGAAGACATAACAAAGAGCCCATGTCTTCTGTGAAATTGCCCCATAAGGCCCATTCAGAATATCCATGAATTTCCAATACCTCTTCATCCTCTTTTAATTAAACCTACTATTCCTTAAAAACCAGCACCCCAAGATAAATGAGAATAAGCTAATTCAGTCTTATTGATTCCCTGTTTTGTTTAATTACTAGAGTTCTGATTTGTTTAATTGCTAGAGATTGCTTTCTACTATTTTTACTGCAAATGTGCCTTGACTTAGCTACAATATTGCTGCAGAGAAATGTGCTCTACATTCCAAACAATCAACTTTACAAACTTTTGAAACCAAATAAATTTGATAACAAAGAATCAGCTGTATGCAATTAATGACAGAAGCCAATAATGTAAAAATTAGGTGATGTAGGCTTGTAGATTACCAGAGACCTCAGATGGAAGTAAGACTTAAGCTAGATGTTGAAAGATGGAGAAAGAATTAGGAGAACATGGGAAAGATTGTATAACCACAAGCTTCCAGTCTGTCACTGGCATAATATAATCTCAGGTAAGTGAGTAAACTAAATTGGCTATGGTAGTGATTAACATGGGGAGGAGAAGAAGGTTAAAGTAAGGAAAACACTGGAGTTGGAGAATGCAATAGAAAACCTTAAACAACATGTAGAGAATTTGGGTTTTGTTTGTTTGTTTGTTTGTTTGTTTGTTTTTGAGATAGGGTCTCATTATGTTGCCCAGGCTGATCTTGAACTCCTGGGCTCAAGTGATCCTCCCACCTCAGCCTCCCAAAGTGCTGGGATTATAGGCATGAGCCACCATGCCCAGCCATGTAGAGAATTTTTGACTCAACTTGTAGAACAATGGTTTACAATTGCTTTCTCTCCTCCAATACACCTGAGAGATGCAATCATTTCCAGTAATAGCAGTGGCTCACTATTCAAAAGGTCCTCAACTATGAGGAAGAGATAGTAAGAATGTTATTGAAATAACTGAGAGGAAGAGATTTCAAAAAGCCCCACTCAGGATTCTGATATGCCTCCCTTCACCATCCTACCCCTCCACACCTCCCTGGGAATGAAAAGCCACGGGAGACCTTAGAAGACAGTGCCCTTTTGAAAGTGTTACGACTGTATTTCATGGTTTAATGACCTAATTTCCTAAACATTAGGCAAATCTGTTTCAACACTTTCCAAAATGTAATTCATAGTATACTCATCTCGTAAGATACCATCTATTAAAAATTAAGCCAGACATGACGACATGCACCTATAGTCCAAACTACTCAAAAAACTAAGGTGGGAGAATTGCTTGAGCACTGGAGTTCAGGTGTGGGCAAGATAGTGAGACCTTGTCTCTAAAATAAAATAAAATAAAATAAATTCAGTCCACATAAGCTGGGAAAGCCCACATAGCATAGCCCCTTCTATCAGAATTTCACCAACTATATTAACATGCCTAATGAAGGACCTAAGGACTCCCACAGTAAAGAAAACTGTTTAATTTTTTCAATCCACACACACATTTGATGACAAATCTTATTCTTACAGAATACCTATTAACACTCTAGTATTGCACAGGAAAAGCTGAGAAACTCCAGTCTACATTGGCTTCTTTGTGACCGGGGACATGTCACATGTGGTTCTGTGCTTGCCTCAGATCTGCTTATGCAAGACAATATAACAGGAAGTGGTATTCCTTCCTCTCTCCAGAAACCCCACTCCCTACAGCACTCCCCTGGCCAGGCTTCATTTGCCTCTTTAAATCCTAGTGCAGAGATGAGCTAAGCCCAGTCCTCTCTCCCATCCTTCAGGTCCCCACTTGGCTTTATTCAGTACAGATGTGTGATCAAGGCTCCTGGGTTCCTCAGTGTTTTTCTGGGAATCTCACCAATACTTACCCGCTGCATCTGAGCTAAGTAACTGAGCTGGCCCAAAAAGAAACCAGCGTGGAGAACATGATGGCACTTGTGGGTCTTCTTGTGTAATTAACTAAAGGACAGGAATGGGCTGTGGAAAGCTGCAGTGCAGGGGACAAAAGATAAGAACAAGCCTGTCTGAGCCTGAATGAGTTACAAAAGAGAGCAAGGCAGACAAGAATGAAGATGAGAAATGACCTTCTTCCCAGCTCTCATTTCCTTCCTCTGTAAAATCCCTGAGTGTCCTCTTCAATTCTTCCCTAGCACAACTGTAGGCTGCTTTCTCCCTCAACGCTGTGCTCTGTGCTCCCTCTGCTGGCTCTCACATGCCAGCTACATTTAAAACAACCACAGGATAGTACAATGCCCACATTTGGGTGGCCTTCAGCAATGTTTCCCACTTGTACATGCTGTCTTAAATTTGGCTATACTTCTTAGCAAAAAATGAAAATTCAACCTCTTTTGTATTATAAAAAAAAAGTGGAGACAGGAAGGGAATGATTAAATAAATTATTGTACTTCATACTATGAAATGCAGCCACTTAATTTGTGTCCACAACTGTGTGAGGTACTGAGGATAAAAAGATTTGGTAATACATGGTCCCCGCTCTCAGGAAATTTACAAGCTAGTGAGGGGAGACTGACATATAACACACTTTTCAAAACGAAGAATTTTAGAAAATTCCTATAACATATGCCTTAAATGATGACTCAAACATGTCCTCTAAACGTATAAAGAGGTACCTCACACAGTCCAGGCTGGACTTTCTTAAATATTCATCTTGGGCTCGGTGCAGTGGCTCACGCCTATAATCCCAGCACTCGAGGCTGAGGCAGTTCGAGCTTGAGCTGAGGAGTTCGAGACCAGTCTGGGCAACATGGTGAAACCCCGTCTCTACAAAAAAAAAAAATACCCCAAAAATTGGCCAGGCATGGTGGCACATGCCTGTAGTCCCAGCTACTCAGGAGGCTGAGGCAGGAGAATCGCTTGAACCAGGGAGGCAGAGGTTGCAGTGAGCTGAGATCGCACCACTGCACTCCAGCCTGGGTGACAGACACCTCATCGAAAGAAAGAGAGACACAGAGAGAGAGAGAACTAATGGCTTTGTGTGAATGTTTTCACCATGATTTAGGCAAAGAACAGAAGCCCATCATGTTGAGTTTCACAATTGGTAGCTGGTGCAGAAGGTTCAGGTAGCAAATGACTGTTTTTGGATTTGGGATATATGGTATTTCTGAAGGTCAAAGGAAATATTTGATACAACCACTCTGTAATCACAGGTTTGTAGTGTTCCTGACCAGCCCATCTCACACGCACCCTTCCCCACACACACACCCAACACTTCAAATAACTCTTTTTATAGATTTTTTATTATTTATATTAATATACCTTCCATAAAGTTTTGTAAATATAGACCCAGGTGTGGGTCGGGTGCCGTGGCTCATGCTTGTAATCCCAGCCCTCTGGGAGGCTGAGGCAGGAGGACTGCTTGAGCCCAGGAGTTCAAGGCCAGCCTGGGCAACAGGATGAAATCCTATCTCTACAAAAAGAATACAAAAATTAGCCAGACATGATGGTGCACGCCTGTAATCCCAGCACTTTGGGAGGCCGAGGCGGGCGCATTACTTGAGGTCAGGAGTTTGAGACAAGCCTGACCAACATGGCGAAACCCCGTCTCTACTAAAAATACAAAGAATTATCCTGGTGGGATGGTGCATGCCTGTAATCCCAGCTACTTGGGAGACTGAGGTGAGAGGATCGCTTGAGCCCAAGAGGAGAAGTTGCAGTGAGCCGAGATCGTGCCACTGCACTCCAGCCTGGGCGATAGAGTGAGACTTGGTCTCAAAAAAAAAAAAAAAAGAAAAGGAAGAAATTAAAAAAAAAATGTAATGTGCATCTTAATGGATAGATTTGGTTACATGAAAATATGAAACCATCATGATCATAACTGCCATCTGTTACGGCTACCCCCATTATGGACACCTACTAAGGGCCAGTCACTATATGCTTTATGCTTTATATGCCTTAGCTCATTTTATGAATTAGGCACAGAGATGAGCCTAAGGAACAAAGTGTAGTTCAGAGATGCAAAGTAAGGATTCAAATCCAGGTATGCTTGATGCCAAAGTCCCTTCAGTGTCTTCTTACTACGCTACCTTGAATCATTATCCAGTTTCCACAAATACTGTTACCTGAGGTTTCCTCCACTGGTTGCTAAGCATAGTGGAAAAGACTAATATGACAGTCAGCAATAGTATCCTATGTCATGTTCATGCTGAGCAAAGCTCTTTGAGCTCTATGGGAAGCCGCTGGCCTTAAGGAAATTAAAATATAATGGAGCACGGACTATATGCAAATAATTAAATATAGCTAATAGATTTTCTACATGCCAAAATTAGCCAGTTTGAAAACCTTATGGAGAACAAATTCCATTAACAAGAACAGCCAAAATATCCCAGAATAAATGTAACAAAAATTTGTCAAGCCTTTATGAAAAAGATCATAGGAAGTCAGTAGAATAAACAGAAAGACAACTCATGTTTCTAGATGGGAAGACTCAATGACTGAATATTGTAAATATATTAATTATCTCCAAATTGTTAAATGTAAAGTCATTTAAGCTACAATTACCGAATCATTGTGATATTAGCACAGAAATGAGCACAGAAATCAACCCTAAAGTCCAATGAACAATATATATATATAGAACAATATACAATATATATAAAGTCATATATATATATAAAGTCATATATATATATGGGACTTTAACCTACGGTAAAAGTGGCATTTCAAATTACTGTGGAAGCCAGATGCAGTGGTTCATGCCTATAATTTCAGCTAGTTGGGAGGCTGAGATGGAAGGATGGAGCCAGGAGTTCGAGGCTGTAGTGAGTGATGATAACCCCACTGCACTGCAGCCTGGGTGATAAGAGTGAGACCCCATCCCTCAAAAAAAAAAAATGAGTGGGGAAAGGATATTCAGTAAGTCTTATAAAATAGTTGGCAGTAGGATTCTGTGGCAAGATGGCCAAATAGGAACAGCTCCGGTCTGCAGCTCCCAGTGAGATCAACACAGAAGGCAGGTGATTTCTGCATTTCCAACTGAGGTACCTGGTTCATCTCATTGGGACTGGTTGGACAGTGGGTGCAGCCCACAGAGGGTGAGCCAAAGCACAGTGGGGCATCGCCTCACCCGGGAAGTGCAAGGGATCGGGGAATTTTCTCCCCCACCTAAAGGAAGCCGTGAGGGACTGAGCCTGAGGAACGCCGGCACAGATACTATGCTTGTCCCACTGTTTTCACAACCTGCAAACCAGGAGATTCCCTCCGGTGCCCACCCCACGAGGGCCCTGGGTTTCAAGCACAAAACTGGGTGGCCATTTGGGCAGACACCGAACTAGCTACAGGAGTTCTTTTTTTCCATACCCCAGTGTTACCTGGAATGCTAGAAAGACAGAACCGCTGACTCCACTGGAAAGGGGTGCTGAAGCCAGGGAGCCAAGTGATCTGGCTAAACAGGCCCCACTCCCACGGAGCCCAGCAAACTAAGATCCACGGGCTTGAAATTCTCGCCGCTAGCACAGCAGCAGTCTGAGATCAACCTGGGATGTTCCAGCTTGGTGAGGGGAGGGGTGCCTGCCATTGCTGAGGCTTGAGTAGGTGGTTTTACACTCACAGTGTAAACAAAGCTGCTGGGAAGTTCAAACTGGGTGGAGCCCACAGCAGCTCAGCAAGGCTGCTGTGGCCAGACTGCCAGATTTCCCTTCTCTGAGCAGGGCATCTCTGAA
Organism: Homo sapiens; assembly: GCF_000001405.40. Lineage (NCBI taxonomy): Eukaryota > Metazoa > Chordata > Mammalia > Primates > Hominidae > Homo > Homo sapiens. Next base: position 82,272,251 of record NC_000004.12, read on the forward strand.
AAAAAGGCAGCAGACCCAGTCAGGGACTTATAGATAAAACCCCCATCTCCCTGGGGACAGAGCACCTGGGGAAAGGGGCAGCTGTGGGCAAAGCTTCAGCAGACTTAAACGTCCCTGCCTGATGGCTCTGAAGAGAGCAGCGGACCTCTCAGCAGAGCGTTCAAGCTCTGCTAAGGGTCAGACTGCCTCCTCAAGTACGTCCCTGACCCCCATGTATCCTGACTGGGGGACACCTCCCAGTAGGGGCCGACAGACACCTCACACAGGAGAGCACTGGCTGGCATCTGACAGGTGCCCCTCTGGAACAAAGCTTCCAGAGGAAAGATCATGCGGCAAAATTTGCTGTTCTGCAGCCTCCGCTGTTGATACCCAGGCAAACAGGTTTGGGAGTGGACCTCCAGCAAACTCCAGCAGATGGGCAGCAGGGGGCCTGTCAGAAGGAAAACTAACAAACAGAAAGAAATAGCATGTCCACTCAAAGACTCCATCCAAAGGTCACCAACATCAAAGACCAAAGGTAGATAAATCCACAAAGATGGGCAGAAACCAGTGCAAAAGGCTGAAAATTCCAAAAACCAGAACGCCTCTTCTCCTCCAAAGGATCACATCTCCTCGCCAGCAAGGGAACAAAACTGGACAGAGAATGAGTTTGACAAATTGACAGAAGTAGTTTTCAGAAGGTGGGTAATAACAAACTCCTCTGAGCTGAAGGAGCATGTTCTAACCCAATGCAAGGAAGCTAAGAACCTTGAAAAAAGGTTAGACAAATGGCTAACTAGAATAACCAGTGTAGAGAAGAACACAAATGACCTGAGGGAGCTAAAAAACACAGCACGACAACTTCGTGAAACATACACACGTTTCAATAGCTGAATCAATCAAACAAAAGAAAGGATATCAGAGATTGAAGATCAACTTAATGAAATAAAGAGAGAAGACAAGATTCGAGAAAAAAGAATAAAAAGGAACGAACACAGCCTCCAAGAAATATAAGACTACGTGAAAACATCAAATCTATGTTTGACTGGTGTACCTGAAGGTGACGAGGAGAATGGAACCAAGTTGGAAAACACTCTGCAGGATATTATCCAGGAGAACTTCCCCAACCTAGCAAGACAAGCCAACATTCAAATTCAGGAAATACAGAGAACACCACTAAAATACTCCTTGAGAAGAGCAACCCCAAGACACATAATTGCCTGATTCACCAAGGTTGAAATGAAGGAAAAAATGGTAAGGGCAGCCAGAGAGAAAGGTAGAGTTACCCACACAGGGAAGCTCATCAGACTAATAGCAGATCTCTGCAGAAACCCTACAAGCCAGAATAGAGTGGGGGCCAATATTCAACATTCTTAAAGGAAAAAATTTTCAACCCAGAATTTCATATTCAGCCAAACTAAGCTTCATAAGCGAAGGAGAAATAAAATCCTTTACAGACAAGCAAATGCTGAGAGATTTTGTCACCACCAGGCCTGCCTTACAAGAGCTCCTGAAGGAAGCACTAAACATGGAAAGGAACAACTGGTAGCAACCACTGCAAAAACATATCAAATTGTAAAGAACATCGACACTATGAAGAAACTGCATCAATTAATGGGCAAAACAACCAGTTAGCATCATAATGACAGGATCAAATTCACACATAACAATATTAACCTTAAGTGTAAACAGGCTAAATGTCCCAATTAAAAGACACAGACTGGCAAGTTGGATAAAGAGTCAAGACCCATCAGTGTGCTATATTCAGAAGACCCAGCTCACATGCAAAGACACACATAGGCTCAAAATAAAGGGATGGAGGAATATTTACCAAGCAAATGGAAAGCAAAAAAAAAAGCAAGGGTTGCAATCCCAGTCTCTGATAAAACAGACTTTAAACCAACAAAGATCAAAGAGACAAAGAAGGGCATTACATAATGGTAAAGGAATCAATGCAGCAAGAATAGCTAACTATCCTAAATATATATGCACCCAGTACAAGAGCACCCAGATTCATAAAGCAAGTTCTTAGAGACCTACAAAGAGACTTAGACTCCCACACAATAATAATGGGAGACGTTAACATCCCACTGTCAACATTAGACAGATCAACAAGACAGAAAATTAACAAGGGTATTCAGGACTTGAACTCAGCTCTGGACCAAGTGGACCTAATAGACATCTACAGAACTCTCCACCCCAAATCAGCAGAATATGCATTCTTCTCAGCACTACATCGCACTTATTCTAAAGTTGACCACATAATTGGAAGTAAAACACTCCTCAGCAAATGCAAAAGAACAGAAATCACAACAAACAGTCTCTCAGACCACAGTGCAATCAAACCAGAACTCAGGATTAAGAAACACTCAAAACCACACAACTACATGGAAACTGAACAACCTACTCCTGAATGACTACTGTGTAAAAAGAAATGAAGGCAGAAATAAAGATGTTCTTCGAAACCAATGAGAACGAAGACACAACGTACCAGAATCTCTGGGACACATTTAAAGCAGTGTGTAGAGGGAAATTTATAGCACTAAATACCCACAAGAGAAAGCAAGAAAGATCTAAAATTGACGCCCTAACATCACAATTAAAAGAACTAGGGAAGCAAGAAAACCACAGGGCATGGGGCCAGGGTGGCAGCCCCCAGGGAGCCGGCAGGATGGCAGAGGGCAAGGCGGGCAGCACAGCCGGCCTCTTCACCAAGCAGGTGCAGAAGTTCAGCAGGGCCCAGGAGAAGGTGCTGCAGAAATCGGGGAAAACTGTAGAAACCAAAGATGAACAATTTGAACAAAGTGCTAACAACTTCTACCAACAACAGGCAGAAGGCCACAACTATACAAGGACCTGAAGAACTTCCTTAGTGCAGTCAAAGTGATGCATGAAAGCTCAAAAAGAGTGTAAGAAACCCTGCAGGAGATCTACAGCAGTGAGTGGGATGGTCATGAGGAGCTGAAGGCCATCATAGAGAATAATGATCTCCTTTGGGAAGACTAGAGGAGAAACTTGCTGATCGGGCTGTGAGGACCATGGAAAAGTACATTACCCAGTTCAGCAAAAGTAAGGAGAGAATTGCCAAGCGGGGTGGAAACTCGTGGACTGTGACAGTGCCCGACATCACCTGGAGGCAGTGCAGAATGCCAAGAAAGATGAGGCCAAGACTGCCAAGGCAGAGGAATAGTTCAACAAAGCCCAGACTGTGTGTGAAGATCTGAACCAACATATGCAAATCAACAAACTACTAGAGGAGTTGTCTATTCTTTATAATAGTCATACTGGCTCTATGTGACCATCTTCCAAAACATTTCCAACTTGAGGGATGTCTTCTACAGGGAAATGAGCAAACTGAACCACAATCTCTCCGAGGTGATGAGCAAACTGGAGAAGCAACATTCCAGTAAAGTCTTTGTGGTGAAGAGACTATCAAGCAGCAGCAGGCGCTCTTTAGTCATTTCTCCCCCAGTTCGAACATCTACAGTCTCCAGTCCACTTACCTCACCTACTAGTCCCTCTACACTTTCCTCGAAGAGTAAGAGTGAATCTGTCTCAGCAACTGAAGATCTGGCACCTGATGCAGCCCAGGGGGAAGACAATTCTGAGATCAAGGAGCTCTTAGAAGATGAGGAAATAGGGAAGGAAGGATCTGAAGCAAGCTCCTCTGAGGAAGAAGAGCCTCTACTAACCTGCAACGGCCCCTCCCAGGCCCAGCCCTCTCCTATCATTGAGAGTGCCAGGTCCCAGGAAGAAGTTCCCCCCAGCTCCCCTGCTCTATCACCAGGTGGAGCCCTAAGCCCTTCAGGACACCCTTTATCATCTGCCGCAGAAGTAGTCCTCCGAACCCGCACCGCAGGTGACAAATCTGAACAATCAAAGAAGAGAGCCTCTATCCAGAGGACCTCAGCACCCCCTAGTAGGCCTCCTCCACCCAGAGCCACTGCAAGCCCCAGGCCCTCCTCAGGGAACATACCCTCCAGCCCTCCAGCCTCTGGAGGGGGTTCACCCACCAGCCCTAGGGCCTCCTTGGGGACTGGGACTCCAAGTCCTAGGACCTCCCTAGAGGTCTCTCCTAATCCAGAACCACCAGAGAAGCCAGTAAGAACTCCTGAGGCCAAAGAAAATGAAAACATCCACAATCAGAACCTCGAAGAACTTTGTACTTCCCCCACCTTAATGACATCTCACATTGCTTCAGAGCCTGGAGAGGCAAAGAAGATGGAAGACAAGGAAAATGATAACAAGCTTGTCTCAGCTGACTCCTCGGAGGGCCAAGACCAGCTTAAAGTCTCCACAGTACCAGACAAGAGCAACCTCACAGCACCTGAACCTCAAGAAGAGGTATCTACAAGTGAAAATGCACAACTCTGAAGAGAAACTGCCAAGATTCCCCAAGCCCCACACCTCCCCAGAGAAGCTCTTCAACCAGAGGGTATAGGTCAGAGGGATATAATAGACAGCATCCATCCCTGGGTTCTCAGTAAGAATGATGGTGCTGTCTAAAGACCTGGCATTAATGGAGGTGGAGGAGCAGCCTTAAGGGAGGGATGGAGGGAGGCAGGCTGGGGAGGAGAAGAGAACATTAGACTCAGGGAATATTTAATTCAGGTTTTAGCATTATTAGAATAAGACTTTATACATTAAGGTGGAGCTATAATCACTATAAAAAGCAAAAGTATCTATAGACACAGACACTTGTCTACACAGAGACATAACCACACATACTCAGAGGACAGTGAATAAATCTGTCTTTGACTTATGACCCATTTTGCAAGACTTAAAGCCAGAAGAACACATTTTCAGATTGTTAAATAAAGTCTGATTCTGACAAAAAAAAAAGAACTAGAAAAGCAACAGCAAACAAATTCAAAATCTAGCAGAAGACAAGAAATAACTAAGATCAGAACAGAACTGAAGGAGATAGAGATAGGAAAAACCCATCAAAAAATCAATGAATCCAGGACCTGGTTTTTTGAAAAGATCAACAAAATAGATAGACTGCTAGCCAGACTAACAAAGAAGAAAAGAGAAGAATCAAATAGATGCAATAAAAAATGATATAGGGTATATTACCACTGATCCCACAGAAATACAAACTACCATCAGAGAATACTATAAACACCTCTATGCAAATAAACTAGAAAATCTAGAAGAAATTGATAAATTCCTGGACACATACACCCTCCCAAGTCTAATCCAGGAAGCAGTCAAATCCCTGAATAAACCAATAACAAGTTCTGAAATTGAGGCAGTAATTAGTAGCTAACCAACCAAAAAAAGTCCATGAACAGATGGATTCATAGCCAAATTCTACCAGAGGTACAAAGAGGAGCTCGCACCATTCCTTCTGAAACTATTTCAAACAATTAAAAAAGAGGGAAACCTCCCTAACTCATTTTATGAGGCTAGCATCATCCTGATACCAAAACCTGGCAGAGACACAACAAAAAAAGAAAATTTCAGGCCAATATCCCTGATGAACATCGATGCGAAAATTCTCAGTAAAATACTGGCAAACCGAATCCAGCAGCACATCAAAAAGCTTATCCACCATGATCAAGTCAGCTTCATCCCTGGGATGCAAGGCTGGTTCAACATATGCAAATCAATAAACATAATCCATCACATAAACAGAACCAATCACAAAAACCACAGAATATCTCAATAGATGCAGAAAAGGCCTTCGACAAGATTCAACACTGCTTCATGCTAAAACCCTCAATAAACTGGGTATCAATGGAACGTATCTCAAAATAATAAGAGCTATTTATGACAAACCCACAGCCAATATCACTGAAAGGGCAAAAACTGGAAGCATTCCTTTTGAAAACCGGCACAAGACAAGGATGCCCGCTCTCGCCACTCCTATTCAACACAGTATTGGAAGTTCTGGCCAAGGCAATCAGGCAAGAGAAAGAAATAAAGGGTATTCAAATAGGAAGAGAGGAAGTCAAATTGTCTCTGCAGATGACATGATTGTATATTTAGAAAACCCCATCGTCTCGGCCCAAAATTTCCTTAAGCAACTTCAGCAAAGTCTCAGGATACAAAATCAATGTGCAAAAATCACAAGCATTCCTATACACCAATAATAGACAGACAGCCAAATCATGAGTGAACTCCCATTCATAGTTGCTACAAAGAGAATAAAATACCTAGGATATGAAGGACCTCTTCAAGGAGAACTACAAACCACTGCTCAAGGAAATCAGAGAGGACACAAACAAATGGAAAAACATTCCATGCTCATGAATAGGAAGAATCAATATCGTGAAAATGGACATACTGCCCAAAGTAATTTATAGATTCAATGCTATCCCCATCAAGCTACCACTGATTTTCTTCACAGAATTGGAAAAAACTACTTTAAACTTCATATGGAACCAAAAGAGAGCCCACATAGCCAAGACAACCCTGGACAAGAAGAACAAAGCTGGAGGCATCACACTACCTGACTTCAAACTTTACTACAAGGCTGCAGTAACCAAAACAGCATGGTACTGGTACCAAAACAGATATATAGACCAATGGAACAGAACAGAGGCCTCAGAAATACCACCACACATCTACCACCATATGATCTTTGACAAACCTGACACAAACAAGCAATGGGGAAAAGATTCCCTGTTTAATAAATGTTGTTGGGAAAACTAGCTAGCCATATGCAGAAAACTGAAACTGGACCCTGTCCTTACACCTTATATGAAAATCAACTCAAGAGGATCAAAGACTTAAACGTAAGACCTAGGACCATAAAAATCCTAGAAGAAAACCTGGGCAATACCATTCAGGACACAGGCATGGGCAAAGCCTTCATGTCTAAAACACCAAAAGCAATGGCAACAAAAGCCAAAATTGACAAATGGGATCTAATTAAACTAAAGAGCTTCTGCACAGCAAAAGAAACTACCATCAGAGTGAACAGGCAACCTACAGAATGGGAGAAAAAATTTGCTATCTATCCAACTGACCAAGGGCTAATATCCAGAATCTACAAAGAACTTAAACACTTTTACAAGAAAAAAAACAACCCCATCAAAAAGTGGGCAAAGGATATGAACAGACACTTCTCAAAAGAAGACATTTATACAGCCAACAGACATATGAAAAAATGCTCATCATCACTGGTCAACAGAGAAATGGAAATCAAAACCACAATGAGATACCATCGTACACGAGTTAGAATGGCTATCATTAAAAAGTCAGGAAACAACAGATGCTGGAGAGGGTGTGGAAAAATAGGAATGCTTTTACACTGTTGGTGGGAGTGTAAATTAGTTCTACCATTGTGGAAGACAGTGTGGCGATTCCTCAAGGATCTAGAACTAGAAATACCATTTGACCCAGCAATCCCATTACTGGGTATATATCCAAAGGATTATAAATCATTCTACTGTAAAGACACATGCACACGTATGTTTATTGCAGCACTATTCACAATAGCAAAGACTGGGAACCAACCCAAATGTGCATCAATATTAGACTGGATAAAGAAAATGTGGCACATATACCATGGAATACTATGCAGCCATAAAAAAGGATGAGTTCATGTCCTTTGCAGGGACATGGATGAAGCTGGAAACCGTCATTCTCAGCAAACTATCACAAGATCAGATAACCAAACACCGCATGTTCTCACTCATAAGTGGGAGTTGAACAATGAGAACACATGGACACAGGGAGGGGAACATCACACACCAGCGCCTGTTGGGGGGTGGGGGACTAGGGGAGGGATAGCATTAGAAGAAATACCTAATGTAGCTGATGGGTTGATGGGTGCAGCAAACCACCATGGCACGTGTATACCTATGTTACAAAACTGCACATTCTGCACATGTACCCCAGAACTTAAAGTATAATTAAAAAAATAGAATAGTTGGCTGTCCATTTGGGAAGATGCAAATTCCAACCTCATAAAGGGCACAAAAACAAATTCCAGGTGGATTAAAGATTTAAACATTAAAACAAACATATAAAAGTAACAGAAAAAAATAAGAAAACATTTACATTTGGGGATGGGGATAGAAAAAGAGGCCTTGCCTAGTATGACACTAAGGTCCAACAAAAATGTCTAAATAAAAAAATAGACACCATAAAGAAAAAGAAAAATCAAATAATAAACCTCAAAAGAAACATCTGAGATATATATATGATAGTCAAAGAAAACATTGTTAATTTAAAAAACAGGCCAGGCACGGTGGCTCACGCCTGTAATCCTAGCACTTTAGGACGCCAAGGCAGGCAGATCACCTGAGGTCAGGAGTTCGAGACCAGCCTGGCAAACATGGTGAAATCCCGTCTCTACCAAAAATATAAAAATTAGCCAGGCGTGGTGGCACACACCTGTAATCCCAGCTGCTTGGGTGGCTGAGGAGGAGAATCTCTGGAACCCAGGAGATGGAGGTTGCAGTGTGCCGAGACCACGCCACTGCATTCCAGCCTGGGCAGCAAGAGGGAGACTCCATCTCAAAAAAAAAAAAAAGGAAAAGAAAAGAAAGAACAGGCTGGGCATGGTGACTCACGCCTGTAATCCCAGCACTCTGGGAGGCCAAGGCAGATGAATCTCTTGAGTCCAGGAGTTCAAGACCAGCCTGGGCCACATGGTGAAACCCAGTCTCTACAAAAAGTACAAAAATTAGCCAGGCATGGTAGCATGTGCCTGTATTCCCAGCTGCTCAGGAGACTGAGGTAGGATGACAGCTTGATTCTGAGAAGTCAAGGCTGCAGTGAGCCAAGATTGTGCCACTGCACTCCAGCCTAGGTGACCAGTGAGACCCTGCCTAAAAATAAAAAGAACAAAATTAGCAGAGCATGGCGGCACTTGTCTGTACTCCCAGCTACTCAGGAGGCGAAGGCAGGAAGATCACTTGAGACCAAGAGTTCGAGGCTGCAGTCAGCTATGATCCCACCACTGCAGTCTAGCCTGGAAAACAGAGTAAGACTCGGTCTAAAAAAAAAAAAATTTTCAGAAAAATGTATATAAAATGCACAAAAATGAAAAGACAAATATAAATTAGATTATTCCAGTGGTTCTTTTATGGGATGGTAAAAATAGACAGGCTTTTACTCTAGTATTGTTTACTTTTTTTTTTTTTTTTAGACAAGGTCTCACTCTATTGCCTAGGCTGGAGTGCAGCAGTGCGATCATGACTCACTGCAGCCTTGACTTCTCAGCCTCAAACAATTTTCCCAGTTCAGCCTCCCAAGTAGCCGGGACCACAGGTGCGCACCATCACGTCCAGCTAATTTTTCTATTTTTTGTAGAGACGGGGTTTCACCATGTTGTCCAGGCTGGTCTTGAACTCCTGGGCTAAGGTGGTTCTCCCACCTGGGCCTCCCAAACTGCTGGGATTACAGGCTTCAGCCACTGTGCCCAGCCTAAATTTTTACAGTGATCACATACGTAAATAAAAAAATTATAAAAATGTTCCATTTTGAAGAACAATAACTAAAAAAACAGTCCTTTATGAGAGAACTTCAATACTTAATAAGACTCATCTTGAATTAGTGAGTGCTTGAAAGTCTCCAGCTGACAAAAACACTTACAAACTCTCTAATGACCTAAGAAGTCAGATGACTAAAAAATTAGTTGCTCTTCCTTCTGGGAAGCTAACCTCTAAAAAGCAATGATAATTCAGGCATAGTGGCTCACGCAGGTAATCCCAGCACTTCGGGAGGCTGAGGGGGTCGGATCACTTAAGGTCAGGGGTTCGAGACCAGACTGACCAACATGATGAAACCCTGTCTCTACTAAAAATACAAAATTAGCCAGGTGTGGTGGTGCACACTTGTAATCTCAGCTATTCAGGAGGCTGAGGCAGGAGAATCACTTTAACCCAGGAGGCAGAGGTTGCAGTGAGTCGAGATCGTGCTACTGCACTCAAGCCTGGGCAACGGAGTAAGACTCTGTCTCAAAAATAAATAAAATAAAAAGCAATGATAGTAGTATTCACCAGTCAAAGTACTGATGAGTCTAAAAGCATGTTGTGAAAGAAATTAACAACAGTGAAATGTCCCATTTCACCTTCCCAGGATCCTAGCTTCTCACCACTCTTTCTGCTGCATCCTCAAGATTGTATCAAACTATCAAGGGAAAGGTGGAAATGTCTGTGATATTTTATATTACCTGCCGTGGTTTTCATTCTCAGTTATTCTCTTTGGCACAAAAATGGAGAATGAAAAAAATGGAGGAGGAGGAAGGAGAGATGGAGGAAGAAGAGAGTAAGACAGAAAAGCTTCTCATTCTAAAAAGTTTCAAAATAGATTTTGGGAACTCTCTGAAAACAGAGTATATGGGGAAAAAAAGGTTTCAGACAATCAACGTTCATGGCATCAACTGGGAAAACGCCCAGGGTGGTCAGAGTTGCCCTACCTAGACTTGCTGGAATGTCCACATGTCAGAGAAGGACAGAATGAGAAGGAAGCACTCCAACTAGCTAGAGCCCTCTCTAGGAAGTGAGGGGTGACATAGTGTGGTGATGAGAAGACTCCTAGTAAATTGGGGATCCAAGAGCTTGCTTCCCAAATGAAGTAAGGTCTAAAAGCTGCTCCCCACATGATAGCAGTGACACAGCACAACAGGAGAGTGCGACAGGAGGGCATATTGTGACACAGCCTCTGGAGCCACCCGCAGCCTCACAATGACATGTGGGAGCAGTGGGAATTTTTCTTCGCCTCCAAGAGGACCAAAAAAGTGACTGAAAGAGAAACAGAGCACCTAAAGGGGCCTTGGGGTTCCAAGTAGAGTGTGTGACTGGTGATCAGAGACAGACAGAAAACAAACATTAGCTGCAGATTCCACCTTAGAGGGACGAAGGTCACTAATTGGAAGCTCTTTCCCTCCACCAAGTTTCCCACACTCAGAGATGCCACCCCATGGGGAAAGAAGGAAAGGGAGAAATCCTGAGTTAAGTGAGGAAACCTGGCATTGACTAGAGTAAGCCTTGGCTATCAGGCATAATACAGCATACAGAAAACATACAGGAAGGAAAGAAAGCACAAGGGACAGTATGCAATTGGAGGGGAGGATTAAAGGCTTAGAATGACTGCTGTGCTGAAAGCTCACCAGGGAGAAGGGGCTCAAAAAAGATAGATTTGTGGTGAGGTTTATTCGGTTTGTTTTTACTGTAAGCAAGACCCTGGGGTAAGCAAAAGCATTACCCCAGAGTTAACAAATTTCCTCTTCCCAGGTATAAGTAATGTGACCAGTGGTTTTAATCAGTCACCCTGCCTGTAACACAGACACACTTATCAAGCTGATAAGACACACTGATTCGAGATTTCCTGTATATAGGATACATGATTCAACAAGGCATTTTTCTCAGGAGCTATAGTGCAGACCAGTTTCGCTCCTTCCTTGTCAAATCCAATTTGATTACCCTGTGTTAAAGGAAATGGAATTGACTACCTGCCTTCACCCAGACACCCAGAAGGATACTGATTGTCATTCTTTAAGGTTACACCATTGGGTTCAGGCGCAGTGACACACCTGTAATCCCAGCACTTTAGGAGACCAAGGAGAGTGGACCACTTGAGGTCAAGAGTTCAAGACCAGTTTGGCCAACATGGTGAAACCCCGTCTCTACTAAAAATACAAAAATTAGTCAGGCGTGGTGGCACACACCTGTGGTCCCAGCTACTCAGGAGGCTGAGGTGGAAGGATCGTTTCAACCCAGAAGGTGGAGGTTGCAGTGAGCCGTGATCATGCCACTGCACTCTAGACCCTGTCTCAAAAAAAAAAAAAGATTACACCATTGGGAGCAAGAAAGTAATATGTACTTATCACAAATTACTGCAATTGCATAACTACTGTATGCTAATATTTTTGCATAATTATTTCATTTAAACTTGACAATTACCCCCATTTTATGAACTAGGAAACTGACTCTCAGAAAGATTAAGTTACATAAACTCATGGAGTACATGGGCAATGCCCATATATGAATCTAAGTTTGTCTGACTTCAAAGGCAAACTCTTTCCACTCTACCACAATACCTTGGTGATGAAAATATATAAGGTCACACTTTTAAAAAATTATTGTCAAGGCACCCAAGGTCTAAGACAACAAAAGTCATGCTACCACTCCTTCCACTCTGCCCTCCTACCTACTCTCTCATACACCTTTTCTCTGCCACACTCATCCCCCAAACCCACCTGCCTTCTTTCAAGCCTTTACAGAAGCTATTCCCTCTGCCTAGACTCTCCTATCTTTCTTTCCTCCCCACTTAGAGAACGCCAACCCATCCTCTAAGTCAAGGACTTTTAAAGCTTTGCTAGCTCTCCATCCCATCTTCTGCAGCTTTGTTCATCTTTCCCTGATAGCACACGCATACCACTTGAGACTGGCGTTTCTCCGCCTGTGCCTCTGTAACCACTACTAGAATATGAACTCCTCAACTTCAAGGTCGGGGCCGACCTACTTGCATACCCAGGAATCTAAGGCATTTAGCGCACAGCCGGAGTTCAATAAATGCCTGGATTAATGAATTAATTTTCTTTAAAATCAAGGTCTACATTTCACATGCTCTAGATTGTGAATAAATCATAAGGAGGTAAACACTATGAAGTACACTGGCGCTCGACAAATGATTTTAAGGAGAAAGGCTGCCACCCAAAGCAGGTTTCTCCAGAGACCCCGCCCGTGTCCCGTCAAACGCGCCGCTAGGGCTGGAGACGGCCCCGCCTCTCTCCCTGCCAATCAGTCCCTCTTCGCGCCTGCGCACGCACCGCCCTCTCCCGAAGCCCCGCCCCGGTCACCGCCCCGAGGCTGTCCCGGACGGTTGGGTCCAGAGGAGCCTTTCCTTCACTGGCCCGCCTGCTATGACGATCATGTACAGCTGCATTGCTAATGGCCGAGCGGTCCTAGCGGAGCTGACACTGACTGGAGGTTCTTACCAGGTACCTCCGGATCCACGCCACCGCCCCCACGGGTTCCGCCCCTCGAGGGTGGTGCCCCCCGAGCCCGCCCCTAAGGACGCGGCGCTGCGAGGTGGTCCGGAACCTGCTCGGGGGACACAAGCTCCCGCCCCGCGAGAGATCCCGCCCCCACGAGAGACCCCGCCCCCGCAAGAGGCCCCGCCCCCGCGAGAGGCTGGCGTCCCGGCGGCTGCCGCACGTGCGCCACCTAGGGGACAGAGCTGGCGCTGCACGTGCTGGGTTTGGTGGCTATTTGAACCCAGGTCCAACTTTGATAGACCCTAAAATTTGTCTTTCTCCTGCGGAGAAATGACCTGCAGTTCAGCACACATTTATTGAACATATCTCTGTCACAAAATCCCAGAGTAAAGAATATCACGGATTCAGCAGTGAACATGAGCCTGGCATTGCCCCTTTATATCCAAGGGCTATAGACAATTGTCCTAGAGTGTAAAAAGTATTTCAACGGAGGTAGGTTGCGATTGTTCTTGTAGTTTTCAAGATGGGCTCTTGGCTTATAAACTTGTAAGAATTAGTCCTAGCCTGGCACAGGAAAGGGGAATGAGAACTCCATGCAGAGAAAAGAGCATGGTGTGTCTGCAGATTCCCAGGAACCTCAGTGTGGCTGGAACACAAGGATGAGGGTGTAGAGGCTGGAGATAAGGCCAGGAAAGTGGGCAGAAGACAGCAAATGAAGGGTCCTATATACAGCTGTTTTCTCATCCCAGAGAACCTGGGGAGCAACTAAGATTTATAAACAGAGGAATAGCAAGATCTGATTTACCTTCTGATAAGTTTGGTCTGGTTACAATGTGGAAGGTAGATTGGGAGGGTGATATCCATTTAGAATGGATGGGCCTGCACTAAGACAATGATGGTGCAAATGGAAAGAAGGGGCAGATCCTAAGGAGACTTTCTTTTTTTTTTGAGACGGAGTTTCACTCTTGTTGCTCAGGCTGGAGTGCAATGGCGCAATCTCGGCTCACTGCAACCTCTGCCTCCCGGGTTCAAGCAATTCTCCTGTCTCAGCCTCCCAAGTAGCTGGGATTACAGGCATGCGCCACCACACCCAGCTAATTTTGTATTTTCAGTAGAGACGGGGTTTCTCCATGTTGGTCAGCCTGGTCTCGAACTCCTGACCTCAGATGATCTGCCTGCCTCGGCCTCCCAAAGTGCTAGGATTACAGGCACAAGCCACCGAGCCTGGCCCCTAAGGAGACTCTCTAAACTTCATTCTCAGGAGTTGATAACTGGTTGAATATGTCAGATGCTGGACAAGGTAATGCATAGGATAAGCCTCAGAATTTTTTCGTAGGTGGCATTGAACTACAAAGAGAACATAGAAAGAGGAGAAAAATGGTGGGAGGGAATGTAGGGGAGAAGAATAGAGTTTGGGACATGCTGAATTTTGTTACCTGTTGAAAATGGCCAAATCTATATGTGTATTTATTTTTCCACCTATTTCCAAAGGGTTTTAAGTCAGAAAAATGTCTAGTAGGTAATGAATATATTGCTCTAGCATTCAGAGAGTCAAGACTGACCGTTAAAAGGAGTAGAAATGGGTAAGACTGCCCGGGAAATGTATAGAAAGTGAGAAAAGAGGAGGACCAAAAGGCAGAACATGGTTTAAGAAGAAAGTAGAGAGATGGGTCACCAAATGTGAGCTGTGGTGTCCTACAAGCCAAAAGAAGAAATTTACAAGAATTTCTCATATCCCCAGTAAGTTGAGCATGTCCCCAATAAGTTCATGTCTAGTCCAGTCAACACCTTGAGCAAGAACTAAAAGGTGTTCATTAGACTCTACAATGGGAAGATGATTGGTGATTGTACTGTAAGCAGTTTGGGAGAAGAGCAGAGGCAGAAGCCCAGTACCTTTACGCCAAATGAGTGAGAGATAGGAAAGTAGGGAGAATGAGGTTAGACTGTTCCTTCAAAAATTTAGAAAGGGAATGAGATGGAGTGAAAGCTAGATGCAGCATGATCCAGGAAGGCACCTCATTTTTTTAATATAAGGAAAACTTTCACATGTAAGTTAAGCTAATGGAAAGAAAAGGTCAAAGATATAAGAGACGAGGGGGCTATTGGTGGAGTAAGGCTTTAAGGGGCACAAAAGGATGGAATCCAATTTGGCAGTAGAGATGTGAGCCTCAGATTAGGGGAATACCCTCTTTCTCTTCAGGAAAGGAGAATGTGAATATAGACATATGATTCAGTCTCCTCCTGGGGCTCTCTTCTTTACCAATCCCTTACATGCTGTGTTCCTTAAGGTTCTCGTTGTAGTCCTCTTTTAACTTGACACACTCATTCACATCCATAGACACCTTTCCTCTGATTACAGCCAAACCCACTTCCAAAGTTATCTCTCTCCTGAGTTAGATTGCCTAATAGAACATATCATGTCCAGAACTAAATTAATTGTCTTTCCTAACAGATTCCTCCTTGCATACAGTCATGCACTGCCTAATGATGATTTGGTCAATGACAGGCCATATATATGACAGTGGTCCCATAAGATTATAATACCACATTTTTACTGTACCTGTTCTATGTTTATGACATTTACATACACAAATACCATTGTGCTCGAATTGCCTACAATATTCAGTGCAGTAACATACTGTCCAGGTTTGTAGCCTAGGAGCAATAGGCAATACCATAATAGCTTAGGTGTGTAGTAGGCTAGACCATCTAGGTTTGTGTAAGTGCACTCTATGATGTTTGCACACAAGCAAATTGGCTAATGACTCATTTCTCAGAACGTATCTCTGTCGTTAAGTGACACGTGACTATTTCTGATCTTGCTTAGTAGCTCTACTGAGCTATTCAAGCTGGAAACTGGGAGTCACCTCCAGTTGTTTCCCTTCTTCCGCTTCACATCTGTTCATTCATCACCCAGTTCTATCAGTTTTGTATCTCCTGAGTATATCTCAAATCTATCTCCTTGTTTCTGAACCATGTCTTCATCCCAGCCCCTCTCACCAGGCTTATTGAAAACACCTCCTAACTAATCTCCCAGACTTCAGCCTTGTCCTACTAAAAAACAATTTCCACACTGCTGCCCCAATGATAGTTCCTAAAAGCAAATAGGATCATATCACTCCCCTGCTTAAAATAATTTGGTGGCTACTGATTACATTACCCACACTCCTTAGCCTGGCACTCAAGGCCCTCTCTGGTTATCTCCTTCCCTTTCCCACATACCCATGTGCTCCAACTATCCTGAATTTCGTGCTGTTCTGCTATCTCACCATGGTCTCCCTCTGCATCTCCTTTTCCCTCTACCTGGAAATTACTTTTCTCCATTTTGGGGCAGTATAACATTTATGCTTTGAGACTCTTCTCAGTTTTTCTCCTTGAAGCCTCCACTACACACAGGTTAACTTACATTCCTCTACCAAACTACTTACCAGGCTGAATTAGAATCTTCTTTCACTTGTCTGTCTCTGCCATCGAACTCAAGGACAGGGACAGTCTTCATCTCTGTCTTTCCGGTGTCCAATGCCTAATACATAATAGGCAGTAAGTTCTCAATAAATGTTTTTTTAATTTGTTAATTAAGAAAGGAGAGAGAAAACTAAAATCTTTCATAAGCCCCAAGTGACCTCTCTTGGTGAAGCATACAGGAAGGGAAGAAAGTAGAGGTATAAGGCAGTATATAATTGGAGGAGAGCACTGAAGGCCTGGAATGACTGCTGTGCAGAAAGCTGACTAGGGAGGAGAAAAAGAATAGCAAGGAGCTTCAAGAAATAGTTCAGGTTAAAAGGAAAGAAAAAAGTATCACATCTTCCCTCAATGCCAAGGATATAAAAAATTTTATATCCATTTGAAAAACATGAGTACCAAAGTTTAATCATGAGATCCAACTAACTGCTATTATAGAATCCTGGCACTGAACGGGATCCTAGAGATCATCTGTCCAATCTCTTCATTCTTCCCACGAGTAAACAGACCCAGACAAGTCACTAAGTCATGCAACACATTAATTCTAGAAACACAACTAGAACCCACTTTGCCATTCATTTTACTGCCTCATATTGCCATTTGTTTTGTTTCAAATTTTGCTAAGATACCAATGTTTACACTATACACTAAAAGAGACACTTGGGGGAAAATGTGGGAATATGTTCCATTACTAATAATTGAGAGTTTGTGTGTCCCTTTAATTTTTCAAGTTTTTTAGGAAATCCTTTCCTAGAAAATATCACTGGGACTTTTCAGGCAATACCAAGAGTTTCAGGTTTTACTTTCTACCATTAATAATAACTTTTACCCTTCCATAAATGTTTTTATTTCTTGTTATTTTGTGAAAATGGAAAAATTAATTGGGATTATAGCCATTCAAGACTTCTTGGGTAACTTTCAGATTTCTTTAACACTTCTAAAGTAAATTAATGGGACTGCATATAACTGATTACATTTAAGTTATTCTGGATAGTCATAGTATCTTACAAATTTTTCCCCAAAGAATGAGCCTTATAAGAAACAGGTATAAGAGTTCTTAGCAATTGTTTGTTTTTTAGAAAGAGATCAGTGAACAATAGTGAATAAAAATTTTTATCTTAAAAAATAAGGTAAGACTGCTTAGGGTATTCAGAAAATAAAAGATGAATATCCTTAACTATTAACATTTTATTTATAGTTTCAGTAGCTAGTGGTTACTGAAAAGATGTTTGATTAGATAGTGCTTTCCAGCCTTGAAACCATGTATAAGATATGATTGTAAAAATAAGATTATTGATCCAGATGGCCTGAAGCAACTGCAGTATCACAAAAGAAGTAAAAATGGGGCCGGGTGCAGTGGCTCACGCCTGTAATCCTAGCACTTTGGGAGGCCGAGGCGGTCGGATCACGAGGTCAGGAGATCGAGACCATCCTGGCTGACACGATGAAACCCCGTCTCTACTAAAAATGCAAAAAAATTAGCCGGGCGTGGCGGCGGGCGCCTATAGTCCCAGCTACTCAGGAGGCTGAGGCAGGAGACTGGCGTGAACCCAGGAGGCAGGGCTTGCAGTGAGCAGAGATCGCGCCACTGCACTCCAGCCTGGGCGACAGAGCGAGACTCCGTTTCAAAAAAAACAAAAAATAAAAATAAGATTATGTAGTTCAACCTATATTTGCACACATATATGTGTATATTATATGTATATTTATGTGGTTTTAATATTTTTCTTCAGATTCATATGAATATTTCAGGATCACTTGACTGTTACCATGCATTATGAATCCCCACTCATTAGTTCTCCTAGTGAACTGGTTTTCCTTAATAAACTAATTAGAACATTGATAAATTTAGGAGGAGAATAATGAAATACACTACAATCTTCTGCAAAGTAAATGCTGACAATTTATTTTTAGGAAGCAGTGGCAAAAGTGCTTAGATTAGTGCTTCTTAGAGCTGAACCAAAGACCATAATTCAAATGGGAAGGTAAAGTAAGTTCTAATACAGATCTGTTTTTGAACAATTACCAGAAAATAATTCCGATGATGACGTAAACACTAGTTACACATACTCTTGATCGAACCCTCAGAAAGGAGAACTTCTATCTGTAAAAGTATAAAATCAGGAATGGGGATGATAAACACCAAATTAAGATAGTGTTTACCTTTTCAAATGGAAAACAGAAAATAAATTTAAGGAAGGGTATAAAGAGGATATATTAACCTTATCTAACTAGTCTAGCACTTTTAGACAGGTCTAAAAGTGTTCTTGTTATCTTATTCTCCATTCTTTTGGGTATACCCAAAACATTTCATTAATAAAAAAGGAAACATCTACCTTAAAATATCTTTAATAAGAATGAGAACAGTGGCTGGCTGGGCATGGTGGCTCACGCCTGTAACCCCAAAATTTTGGGAGGCTGAGACGGGTGGATCCCTTGAGCCCAGGAGTTTGAGACAAACCTAGGCACTATGGTGAAACCCCATCTCTACAAAAAATTAGCTGTGTGTGGTGGCAAGCACCTGTATAGTCCCAGCTACTTGGGAAACTGAGGTGGGAGGATCAACTGAGCCAGGGAGGTCAAGGCTGCAGTGAGCTGTGATCGCACCACTGCGCCCCAGCCTGGGCAATTGAGCAAGACCTTGTCTCAAAACAAAACAAAACAACAACAAAAAACAGTGGACATCACTCTTAAGCTTCACTTAGGACATTACATGGTATGGCCTAAATCAGTCTTGAAAACAGTTGCTAGTAAAGGAGGAAGTGAGGGAAAAGAAAGATTCTATTATTTTTAAGGCTCTTCATTTTTTTTAGAGTAGGTTTGTTTTAACCTTTCTATCGTAAGTAAAACAGAGAAACAAAGATATCACATCTAATGAATGTATAGCTTTGTGAAGTGTAGCAAGGGACTCTCTCCAGCAGCAATTATCATCTAGGCCAAAGAAAACGGAATACTGCCAGCCACCCCCACCATATGTCCTGTCCCATTCACCGCTTCCTCCATCTCTGCAAAATCAAACACCATCCCTGCAAAATCAAACACCATCCCAGCAAAATCAGACACCATCCCAGCTTCCATAGTAGTCATTTCCCTGTTTCTTCATTGCATCAGCACCCAAATACACATCCTCAGATGGGAGCCCAATCCTGCCCATTTTTTAATTTGATGTCTTTTAAATCTCTTTAAATACACTTATTCCCCCTCCATTTCTTTTTTTCTTTTTCCCTTGCAGTTTATTGTTGAAGAACTGACAGAGTTTCCCACAGTGTAGGTTTGCTGATTGCATACTCAAAATTCAGGTCACCATTTACCAAGTAGCCAACCCAGAGGCTCAACCCCTTCAGCAGGACTATAGTACGAGTGTTTTTGCATCAGATGGTACATGGTATCTGATTATATCTCCTTTTGAGATGTTAGCAGCTATCGATACTCATTGCTAGGCCCAAGAGCCACTAATTTATAAGGGATTGCAAAATGGTAATAATCTAGTTTTGTATTCACAGACAAAATTAGCTGAAATGATTTTAAAAAGAGATACTTTCCTTATTTGCTGTTTGCTTACCTGTGTTCTACATTCTAATTTGAATCTTTTGAAGACCTTTTTTTCTGAACTCCAGACTCGTATACCCACTTGTTCCACTCTGCTTGAATGTCTAATTAAAGTATCTCAAACATATCCAAAGCTAAGCCTCTTCCAGAAGTCTTCCACATATCACTTTTCTAGTTCCTCAGGCCTAAAACCTATAGTATTCTTGACTCTTGTCTCTTTTATATTGAAATCCAATCCATGGGCAAATCCCATTGCCTGTCCTCTCCAAATAGTAACCAAGCCACCATCATCTCCTGCCTTGATCACTCAATACAAAGCCATCTTTCTCATTTTGTTTCTGATTTCTAATGGTTACTTTTTTCTTTGTTTTTTAAACGGAGTCTCGCTCTGTCGCCAGGCTGGAGTGCAGTGGTGCAATCTTGGCTCACTGCAACCTCTACCTCCCAAGTTCAAGCGATTCTCCTGCCTCAGCCTCCCAAGTAGCTGGGATTACAGGTGCGCGCCACCATGCCCAGCAATTTTTGTATTTTTAGTAGACATGGTTTCACCATGTTTGCCAGGATGGTCTCGATCTCTTGACCCTGTGATCCGCCCACCTCGGCCTCCCAAAGTGCTGGGATTACAGGCGTGACCCACCGTGCCCGGACCTAATGGTTACTTTTTTTAAAAGTTTCATTAATAACATTTTTATTATGCAAAATATATATGCAGTACCAAAGTCAAATCTACAAAACAGTTCCTTCGAGAAGTCTAATTTGCATTCTGTTCCTCTCCTTACTACTCTTTCCCCCTATGTAGGTAACCATTTTGAACAAGTTTTTGGTTTATCTTTTTTTCTTTTCTTTTTTCCTATAAGAAATACATTCTATAAGAATACATTAGCCGGGTATAATGGTGCACACCTGCAGTCCCAGCTACTTGGGAGGCTGAGGTGGGAGGATGGCTTAAGCTCGGGAGGTGGAGGTTGCAGTGAGCAGAGATTACACCATTGCACTCCAGCCTGGGTGAGAGAGCCAGACCCTGTCTCAAAAAAAAGAACACAATATAGAGTACATACAGTAGCCCTCCCTTATCTGAGGGGGATACATTCCAAGACCCCCAGTCTTGTGGATACCTGAAACCACAGATGGTACCAAACCCTATAAAATATACTGTGTGTTTTTATACATATATGATAACATTTAATGTATAAATTAGGTACAATAAGAAATTAACAACAATAATAATAAAATAGAGCAATTATAACAATATTCTGTAACAAAAGTTATGTAAATGTCATCTTTCTTTCTCTCTCTCACAAAAACATCTCATTGCATTTTACTCACCTATTTTTGGACTGCGGTTGACCATGAGTAACAGAAACCACAGAAAGTGAAGCCACAAATAAGAGACTACTGTATGTACATTTGAACTTCCCTTATGGTAGCGTATGATGTGATAGATAAATGATAGCACATCATGCACACTTTTCTCCACCTGGCTTTTGTCAATTAATGATATCTCCTGAACATCAGATATTCAAGTTGTTTTTAAGATTATAGATGCTTTCTGAATATTACTCATAGTATTAATAACATACTAAGCATAAATTTAAAATATCTCTTTTTCACATGCAGTATCAATTTACTTCAAATTACATGTGTAACTTTCAGATAGATGGTACAATTAGCAACTCTTTTTCAGCGGACTCCACCAAATTTTTAAATAAAAATGTTTTCTAGGTGGAGATTATGTGTATAAATCAATATAATCATTAAAAACATTTGTAGCATATTGTATTCATGATATGATGTGAAGGATTTACACTGAAAGGGTTCATATGTTAAATTTTCTGCCTCTGAAATTATCTTTTCTTCCTGTTTCTGAGTTTCCTCATTCTCATATATATTCAATTTAGCATTTGACCATGTCTGTTGCCTGTTAACCATTTAGAGATAGTATTCACAAAGACTAAAGTCTAGGCACCAAGCAACTATTTTTGTTGCATATTCCTGCATTTTCTGGATTGTTGGGCAGTAAAGGATGGAGGCACTTTCCAAGGGGATTCTAGCCCCTACTGTGGGACTCTGAGAAGGCAGAAAGGTCTAGATGGTTGAGTGGTCATGCTAAGGTTCATTTTAACATACTGTGGTTCACTTTAACATTCATTCCTCCCTCCCCAACTCATCCTGAATATTTGGTATTTGCAGTTTACAAATTTTTAATTCTAATGTATAGAAAACCAAGATGTACCAAAATTAAATATGTCTACCTAAAATATAGACATACTAAAATTCAATGAACATAGTATTTTCTGTGTTTGTTTTTGTTTTACAGGCAGAGTCCCACACTTTCGCCTGGGCAGGAGTGCAATGGCGCAATCTTGGCTCACTGCAACCTCCACTTCCTGGGTTCAAGCGATTCTTCTGCCTCAGCCTCCCGAGTAGCTGGGATTGCAGGTGCCCGCCACCACACCTGGCTAATTTTTTGTATTTTTAGTAGAAACAGGGTTTCACTATGTTGGCCAGGCTGGTCTTGAACTCCTGACCTCGTGATGCACCCGCCTCAGCCTCCCAAAGTTCTGGGATTACAGGTATGAGCCACCGCATCCAGCCAAACATAGCATTTTCTATTTAGTCAGAATCTTGATTCAGTCTTAGAATGTGAGTGACTTCAAATATAGATATATATATAGGCCAGGCGTGGTGGCTCACACCTGTAATCCCAGCACTTTGGGAGGCCATGGGAGGCAGATCACTTGAGGCCAGGAGTTCGAGACCAGCCTGGCCAACATAGTGAAACCCTGTCTCTACTAAAAATACAAAAATTATCTAGGCATGGTGGCACATGCCTGTAATCCCAGCTACTCGGGAGGCTGAGGTAGGAGAATTGCTTGAACCCGGGAGGCAGGGGTTGCAGTGAGCCAAGATTGCACCACTGCACTCCAGCCTGGGCGACAGAGTGAGACTCCATCTCAAAAAATAAAATATATATATATACCAAATTATTAGTTTTCTCTTTGATTTATTTTTATTGATGCAATTTTAAATACATATTTAAATTCTACAGATTTCACTTAACATAATTTACTTCAATTTTTCAAATATATGAGAGGTCTTCTAATTATTATGCTTCTTTGTTTTTGGTTTTTTTATTTTTGTTTGAGACAGGGTCTCACTCTGTCGCCCAGGCTGGAGTACAGTGGCGTGATCATGGCTCGCTGCAGTCTCAACCTCCTGGCTCAATCAATCCTCCCACCTTAGCCCCCCAGGTAGCTGGAAATACAGTGTGGCGTGCACCACCATGCCCAGCTAATTTTTTTGTATTTTTTGTAGAAATGGGGTCTTGCTATGTTGCCCAGGCCAATCTTCAACTCCTGGGCTCAAGCAATCCTCCCACCTCAGCCTCCCAAAGTGCTGAGATTATAGGCATGAGCCACTGCACCCATCCAATTATTCTGATTATAAAAAGTTATCTATATAGTTCTTAATACCACTAATGAAAGCTTGAAAAATGAGGTTAAATTCTCTGTGTGGGTACTTCTTTAATATTATCATGTTTTCTTTTCAAAGCTATGTTTGCCATACTGTCTTTATTGATGGAATCACTTATGTATGTGCTACAGACAATGCTTTGGATTCTGTGACACCATCTGCATTTCTTAAAAACGTAAGTAATTTTATTGTACTGTAAGGACTTTTTGAGTTACTGAAATTGTGAGGTCTCTGCTTTATAGTTTATTAGTAGTAGTGTGCTAACCAAAAGCAGCTCACTCACCTGCTATATGTAAAGCAGAGCCATTCATGACCTTCAGAGATTTATTACCTGCATCACTCATCTGGCTCGTGTTTCCATACTTCGCCTGGCCCTAAAGTAAGGCCTGCAAAGATCATCCACTCAGATTTATTAGAACCTCTCCTTATATTTATTTTGTTTTAAAATTAAGAAAGAAATTAAGCTACTCTAGTGTTTAATATACTTTTTCAATGGCACATGTACTTAATTTACAAAGTATGTATGTGAGGAGGTAAGTGATCAAAAATTTTTTAGATCGGTAGTCTAAAGACACTTGTGTTAAAGTATATATATCAATTAGAAGAGTTAATCAAAAAATGTTTTTTAAATCAAGACATACCATCTCTAGGGAAAGTTTTAACTGACAATAGCCAGCATGTCTAAACTATGATAAACAGAGTACTTTTGTGTATGTATTTATGTAGATACATAAGATTTTTATAAATATCTTAAAAGGTGATTAACCTTCTCACTAGATATCACCTGCTGCTCATAGCATCCTGAGTGTGATCTCTGAGCAGAAGGAGAGTTCATGAAACGCAGTCTTTGAGACAGACTAGAGCCAAACCGTTATTCTGGTAATTTTATGGTTCAAATAGTGTGACTGTTTCTTATTTTAAAAAGTAAATTATACTAATCTTCAAATTACTTATAAATATATAATTCAGGATAAATATTTTAGTAAAAAATATTAATGCGAAAATTAGTCAGCTATACTATAGTTACCAATGTAGTAGTTATTTGCCAGTCACATTCATGAATCATGCATATATTTTCTGTTTAATATATCTGCTTGCTTTAACCCAATTCAAACTAATATAGAGTTAAAGGCTATAAGGCCTAAATATTAAAATTAACTCCACAATTATGCCTAGAAAATTGCCAGAGTCCAGATGTTAAACACTGTAAGTCATTTTAGCTTAATGTACTGTAATTTTTTTTCTTTTCTATGTATTATGACAAAACATCCCAACTCTGTAACCTTTCCAAAACTAGGTAACACAACATTACTAACCATGTCATTTTTACCACTGCTTCTGAGAAATTCATTAAGTACTTCTATTAAGACATTTATTTAGCATTGTTTCATTATTGTTGAATGGATTTTGAGGGTATGGGTGAGAGAGGAAAATGAAAGCACTATTTTAAAAATACCATAAAATTCCATCTTTCCTTGTCTGCCAGAGGTAAACATCTGTTCTTCCCCTCAAGTCCTCAGATATATCAAGGAATAGCACCTGCAATCATACTGTATGAGGTTCTAATCTGTACAACAGCAGCGTGTAAGACTGGGACAAACACGGTGTTTATGAATATGCCATCTTTAAATGGAAAGGATGCCCTGCCACCAAAAAGCCAAAAATGATGTGTTTTCTTTTATTTTTCAGGATTCTGCTAGACTTTGCTTCAAATGAATGTTTGTTCTATAATTCTCCAGTTAAAATGATCTATATAGGTTAAATAGTTCCATTAATTTCTCCAGATTAGTGATACTTTTACAAGAAATCCTTTGATGTCACAAGAACATTT
Organism: Homo sapiens; assembly: GCF_000001405.40. NCBI lineage: Eukaryota > Metazoa > Chordata > Mammalia > Primates > Hominidae > Homo > Homo sapiens. The sequence goes on from NC_000004.12 coordinate 82,297,444, forward strand.
TTCTCCTTCAAATGCATTTGCTGCAGATTTTCAACAAGTGTTAGGAAAGTAAATGGTATGTAACCTCAAACTGTATTCCTAAGTATTACCAGTTTTTATTTTATTATTATATTTTAAGTTCTAGGGTACATGTGCACAACGTGCAGGTTAGTTACATATGTATACATGTGCCATGTTGGTGTGCTGCACCGATTAACTCATCATTTACATTAGGTATATCTCCTAATGCTATCCCTCCCCCCTCCCCCCACCCCACAACAGGCCCCTGTGTGTGATGTCCCCCTTCCTGTGTCCAAGTGTTCTCATTGTTCAGTTCCCACCTATGAGTGAGAACATGCGATGTTTGGTTTTTTGTCCTTGCGATAGTTTGCTGAGAATGATGGTTTCCAGCTTCATCCATGTCCCTGCAAAGGACATGAACTCATCATTTTTATGGCTGCATAGTATTCCATGGTGTATATGTGCCACATTTTCTTAATCTAGTCTCATTGTTGGACATTTGGGTTGGTTCCAGATCTTTGCTATTGTGAATAGTGCCGCAATAAACATACATGTGCATGTGTCTTTATAGCAGCATGATTTATAATCCTTTGGGTATATACCCAGTAATGGGATGGTTGGGTCAAATGGTATTTCTAGTTCTAGATCCCTGAGGAATCGCCACACTTTCTTCCACAATGGTTGAACCACTTTACAGTCCCACCAACAGTGTAAAAGTGTTCTTATTTCTCCACATCCTCTCCAGCACCTGTTGTTTCCTGGCTTTTTAATGATCGCCATTCTAACTGGTGTGAGATGGTATCTCATTTGGTTTTGATTTGCATTTCTCTGATGGCCAGTGATGATGAGCATTTTTTCATCTGTCTGTTGGCTGCATAGATGTCTTCTTTTGAGATGTGTCTGTTCATATCCTTTGCCCACTTGTTGATGGGGTTGTTTGTTTTTTTCTTGTAAACTTGTTTGAGTTCATTGTAGATTCTGGATATTAGCCCTTTGTCAGATGAGTAGATAGCAAAAATTTTCTCCCATTCTGTAGGATGCCTGTTCACTCTGATGGTAGTTTCTTTTGCTGTGCAGAAGCTCTTTAGTTTAATTAGATCCCATTTGTCAATTTTGGCCTTTGTTGTCATTGCTTTTGGTGTTCTAGACATGAAGTCCTTGCCCATGCCTATGTCCTGAATGGTATTGCCTAGGTTTTCTTCTAGGGTTTTTGTGGTTTTAGGTCTAACATTTAAGTCTTTAATCCATCTTGAACTAATTTTTGTATAAGGTGTAAGGAAGGGATCCAGTTTCAGCTTTCTACATATGGCTAGCCAGTTCTCCCAGCACCGTTTGTTAAATAGGGAATACTTTCCTCATTTCTTGTTTTTGTCAGGTTTGTCAAAGATCAGATAGTTGTAGATGTCTGGTATTATTTCTGAGGGCTCTGTTCTATTCCATTGGTCTATATCTCTGTTTTGGTACCGGTACCATGCTGTTTTGGTTACTGTAGCCTTGTAGTATAGTTGGAAGTCAGGTAGCGTGATGCCTCCAGCTTTGTTCTTTTGGCTTAGGATTGACTTGGCAATGCGGGCTCTTTTTTGCTTCCATATGAACTTTAAAGTAGTTTTTTCCAATTCTGTGAAGAAAGTCATTGGTAGCTTGATGGGGATGGCATTGAATCTATAAATTACCTTGGGCAGTATAGCCATTTTCACGACATTGATTCTTCCTACCCATGAGCATGGACTGTTCTTCCATTTGTTTGTATCCTCTTTTATTTCATTGAACAGTGGTTTGTAGTTCTCCTTGAAGAGGTCCTTCACATCCCTTGTAAGTTGGATTCCTAGGTATTTTATTCTCTTTGAAGCAATTGGGAATGGGAGTTCACTCATGATTTGGCTCTCTGTTTCTCTGTTATTGATGTATAAAAATGGTTGTGACTTTTGCACATTGATTTTTTTATCCTGAGTCTTTGCTGAAGTTGCTTATCAGCTTAAGGAGATTTGGGGATGAGACGATGGGGTTTTCTAGATATACAATCATGTCATCTGCAAACAGGGGCAATTTGACTTCCTCTTTTCCTAATTGAATACCCTTTATTTCTTTCTCCTGCCTGATTGCCCTGGCCAGAACTTCCAACACTATGTTGAATAGGAGTGGTGAGAGAGGGCATCCCTGTTTTGTGCCAGTTTTCAAAGGGAATGCTTCCAGTTTTTGCCCATTCAGTAAGATATTGGCTGTGGGTTTGTCATAGATAGCTCTTATTATTTTGAGATACATCCCATCAATACCTAATTTATTGAGAGTTTTTAGCATGAAGGGCTGTTGAATTTTGTCAAAGGCCTTTTCTGCATCTATTGAGAAAATCATGTGGCTTTTGTCTCTGGTTCTGTTTATATGCTGGATTACGTTTATTGATTTGTGTGTGTTGAACCAGCCTTGCATCCCAGGGATGAAGCCCACTTGATCATGGTGGATAAGCTTTTTGATGTGTTTCTGGATTCGGTTTGCCAGTATTTTATTGAGGATTTTTGCATCGATGTTCATCAGGGACATTGGTCTAAAATTCTCTTTTTTTGTTGTGTCTCTGCCAGGCTTTGGTATCAGGATGATGCTGGCCTCATAAAATGCGTTAGGGAGGATTCCCTCTTTTTCTATTGATTGGAATAGTTTCAGAGGAATGATATCAACTCCTCCTTGTACCTCTGGTAGAATTTGGCTGTTAATCCGTCTGGTCCTGAACGTTTTTTGTTTGGTAAGCTATTAATTATTGCCTCAATTTCAGAGCCTGTTATTGCTCTATTCAGAGATTCAACTTCTTCCTGGTTTAGTCTTGGGAGAGTGTATGTGTCAAGGAATTTATCCATTTCTTCTAGTTTTCTAGTTTATTTGCATAGAGGTGTTTATAGTATTATCTGATGGTAGTTTGTATTTCTGTGGGATCGGTGGTGATACCCCCTTTATCATTTTTTATTTCATCTATTTGATTCTTCTCTCTTTTCTTCTTTATTAGTCTTGCTAGCAGTCTATCAATTTTGTTGATCCTTTCAAAAAACCAGCTCCTGGATTCGTTGATTTTTTGAAGGGTTTTTTGTTTCTCTATCTCCTTCAGTTCTGCTCCAATATGATCTTAGTTATTTCTTGCCTTCTGCTAGCTTTTGAATGTGTTTGCTCTTGCTTCTGTAGTTCTTTTAATTGTGATGTTAGGGTGTCAATTTTAGATCTTTCCTGCTTTCTCTTGTGGGTATTTAGTGCTATAAATTTCCTTCTACACACTGCTTTAAATGTGTCCCAGAGATTCTGGTATGTTGTGTCTTTGTTCTCATTGGTTTCAAAGAACATCTTTATTTCTGCCTTCATTTCATTATGTACCCAGTAGTCATTCAGGAGCAGGTCGTTCAGTTTCCATGTAGTTGAGCGGTTTTGAGTGAGTTTCTTAGTGCTGAGTTCTAGTTTGATTGCACTGTGGTCTGAGAGATAGTTTGTTGTAATTTCTGTTCTTTTACATTTGCTGAGGAGCGCTTTACTTCCAACTATGTGGTCAATTTTGTAATAAGTGCGGTGTGGTGCTGAGAAGAATGTATATTCTGTTGATTTGGGGTGGAGAGTTTCTGTAGATGTCTATTAGGTCCACTTGGTGCAGAGCTGAGTTCAATTCCTGGATATCCTTGTTAACTTTCTGTCTCATTGATCTGTCTAATGTTGACAGTGGGGTGTTCAAGTCTCCCATTATTATTGTGTGGGAGTCTAAGTCTCTTTGTAGGTCCCTAAAGACTTGCTTTATGAATCTGGTGCTCCTGTATTGGGTGCATGCATATATATTTAAGATAGTTAGCTCTTCTTGTTGAATTGATCCCTTTACCATTGTGTAATGGCCTTCTTTGTCTCTTTTGATCTTTGTTCGTTTAACGTCTGTTTTATCAGAGACTAGGATTGCAACCCCTGCCTTTTTTTGTTTTCCATTTGCTTGGTAGATCTTCCTCCATCCCTTTATTTTGAGCCTATTTGTGTCTCTGCACATGAGATGGGTTTCCTGAATACAGCACACTGATGGGTCTTGACTCTTTATCCAATTTGCCAGTCTGTGTCTTTTAATTGGAGAATTTAGCCCTTTTACATTTAAGGTTAATATTGTTATGTGTGAATTTGATCTTGTCATTATGATATTAGCTGGTTATTTTGCTCATTAGTTGATGCAGTTTCTTCCTAGCATCAATGGTCTTTACAATTTGGCATGTTTTTGCAATGACTGGCACCAGTTGTTCCTTTCCATGTTTAGTGCTTCCTTCAGGAGCTCTTGTAGGGCAGGCCTGGTGGTGACAAAATCTCTCAGCATTTGCTTGTCTGTAAAGGATTTTATTTCTCCTTCACTTATGAAGCTTAGTTTGGCTGGATACGAAATTCTGGGTTGAAAATTCTTTTCTTTAAGAATGTTGAATATTGGCCCCCACTCTCTTCTGGCTTGTAGAGTTTCTGCCGAGAGATCCGCTGTTAGTCTGATGGGCTTCCCTTTGTGGGTAACCCGATGTTTCTCTCTGGCTGCCCTTAACATTTTTTCCTTCATTTCAACTTTGGTGAATCTGACAATTATGTGTCTTGGAGTTGCTCTTCTCGAGGAGTATCTTTGTGGCGTTCTCTGTATTTTCTGAATTTGAATGTTGGCCTGCCTTGCTAGGTTGGGGAAGTTCTCCTGGATAATATCCTGCAGAGTGTTTTCCAACTTGGTTCCATTCTCCCCGTCACTTTCAGGTACACCAATCAGACGTAGATTTAGTCTTTTCACATAGTCCCATATTTCTTGAAGGCTTTGTTCATTTCTTTTTATTCTTTTTTTCTCTAAACTTCTCTTCTCGCTTCATTACATTCATTTGATCTTCCATCACTGATACCCTTTCCTTCCAGTTGATCAAATCAGCTACTGAAGTTTGTGCATTTGTCACGTAGTTCTTGTGCCATGGTTTTCAGCTCCATCAGGTCCTTTAAGGACTTCTCTGCATTGGTTATTCTAGTTAGCCATTCGTCTAATCTTTTTTCAAGGTTTTTAACTTCTTTGCATTGGGTTTGAACTTCCTCCTTTAGCTCGGAGAAGTTTGATCGTCTGAAGCCTTCTTCTCTCAACTCGTCAAAGTCATTCTCCATCCAGCTTTGTTCTGCTGCTGGTGAGGAGCTGCATTCCTTTGGAGGGGGAGAGGCGCTCTGATTTTCAGAATTTTCAGTTTTTCTGCTCTGTTTTTTCCCTATCTTTGTGGTTTTATCTACCTTTGGTCTTTGATGATGGTGACGTACAGATAGGGTTTTGGCATGGATGTCCTTTCTGTTTGTTAGTTTTCCTTCTAACAGTCAGGACCCTCAGCTGCAGGTCTGTTGGAGTTTGCTAGAGGTCCACTCCAGACCCTGTTTGCCTGGGTATCAGCAGCAGAGGCTGCAAAACAGCAAATATTGGTGAGCAGCAAATGTTGCTGTCTGATTGTTCCTCTGGAAGTTTCGTCTCAGAGGGGTACCCGGCCATGTGAGGTGTCAGTCTGCCACTATTGGGGGGTGCCTCCCAGTTAGGCTACTCGGGGGTCAGGGACCCACTTGAGGAGGCAGTCTGTCCGTTCTCAGATCTCAAGTTGCATGCTGGGAGAACCACTACTGTCTTCCAAGCTGTCAGACAGAGACATTTAAGTCTGCAGAGGTTACTGCTGTCTTTTTGTTTGTCTGTGCCCTGCCCCCAGAGGTGGAGCCTACAGAGGCAGGCAGGCCTCCTTGAGCTGTGGTGGGCTCCACCCAGTTCGAGCTTCCTGGCCGCTTTGTTTACCTACTCAAGCTTCAGCAATGGCGGGCGCCCCTCCCCCAGCCTCGCTGCCGCCCTGCAGTTTGATCTCAGACTGCTGATCTAGCAATGAGCGAGGCTCTGTGGGCATAGGACCCTCTGAGCCAGGCGCGGGGTTATAATCTCCTGGTGCGCCATTTGCTAAGACTGTCGGAAAAGCGCAGTATTAGGGTGGGAGTGACCCAATTTTCCAGGTGCCGTCTGTCACCCCTTTCCTTGGCTGGGAAAGGAAATTCCCTGACCTCTTGCACTTCCTGGGTGAGGCGATGCCTCGCCCTGCTTTGGTTCACACTCGGTGCACTGCACCCACTGTCCTGCACCAACTATCTGACAATCCCCAGTGAGATGAACCTGGTACCTCAGTTGGAAATGCAGAAATCACCCGTCTTCTGCATCGCTCACGCTGGAAGCTGTAGACTGGAGCTGTTCCTATTCGGCCATCTTGGAACCCATCGTATTACCAGTTTTACAAAGCTGACAAATCAGTTAGCAATTATGAGTTAAGAGCTGTAAAGATGAATAAGAAACTATCTCTTTAAAATGATAAGGAATGATATCCATGATATATTGATAAGCTAATAAAGCAACATAATGGTTGAGAATTTTTGGCCAGTCATGGTAGCTCATGCCTGTAATCTCAGCACTTTAGGAGGCCAAGGCAGGCAGATCACTTAATGTCAGGAGTTCAAGACCAGCCTGGCCAACACAGCAAAACTCCATCTCTACTAAAAATACAAAAAAAAAAAGAAAAAATTAGCCAAGCATCATGGCACATGCCTGTAATCCCAGCTACTTGGGAGGCTGAGGCAGGAGAATCTCTTGAACTCAGGAAGCAGAGGTTGTGGTGAGTCAAGATTGCACCACTGTACTCCAGCCTGGGCAACAGAGAGAGACTCCATCTCAAAAAAGAAAAAAAAAGGAAAGAATTTATGATACACTATTATTTATTTAATATTCTTATATGCAACTATTTTAGAAGGAATAAGAACAAATCTATTTTTTGTTTACTTACAGTTTTTTTTACAGGCAGGGAAAGGCAAACCAAAAACATTAAGTGGTTACCTATGTGAGGATGAGGGGGAAAAGAAATGACAAGAGTAGAAAGTGGACCTCTCTTTCTTGCTGATGTTTTCTTACGGAAAAGAGAAAAAAGGAACTAGGTCCTTCTGTATGAAGCTCATTTGGCAAATTTGACTGCAAAACCATGTAGATGTTTTACACAATTATAAAATATCACTTAATTCTTTTTTTTTTTTTTTTTTTTTTTTTGAGACAGAGTCTTGCTGTTGCCCAGGCTGGAGTGCAGTGGCGTGATCTCAGCTCCCTGCAGGCTCCGCCCCCCGGGGTTCACGCCATTCTCCTGCCTCAGCCTCCCGAGTAGCTGGGACTACAAGCGCCTGCTACCTCGCCTGGCTTAAAATATCACTTAATTCTAAAACTTTAAAGTAATCCTCACTAAGTGAAATAAGACAGTCACAAAAGAACAAATAGTGCCTGATTCCACCTATATGTGGTATGTAGAGTAGCCAAATTCACAGAGACAGAAAATAGAAGGGTGGTTGCCAGGGGATCAGGGGAGGGGAAAACAAGCAGTTCGTGTTTAATGTGTACAGAGTTTCAGTTTGGGAAGATGAAAAAAGTTCTGGAGATGGATGGTGGTGATAGTTACACAAAATGTGAATGTACTCGATGCCACTGTACTATATACTTAAAAATTGTCAGTTGGAAGGATTTCTAGGATCATTGAAAAAAGAAAAAAATAGGAAAAATGGTAAAATTTTTATGTATATTTTGTCATTATAGAATTTTATTCTAATTTTTAGGATAATCTCTAAAACTCTAAAACAACATGGAAAAAACAAAAAACCTGTGTATTGAGTTAGTGGCTTAAAAGACAGTGAAGATTTATTTCAAGTGGCTCTAAAACACAGTAATTTGATTATATATTCCTAGTGGGATTATACCCTAATAAAAAAAAAACTGAAGAACTAAATCTCAAGGTATTTATTTTTAAGAGTCACATTATTGCTAATAATATTGGTATTGCTATTCTAAAATTGGTTTTTATAGATATAGATATATTACTTTGTATAATTGTTAATGTTGTTAAGACTCAAGTTTTTCAGAAAAAAAAAGAGTTGCAAATATAAAATCAAAGAAGTCAAGTAAAACTTCTAATCCCAAATTTTAATTGAAAATTAGGGCCGGGCACAGTGGCTCATGCCTGTAATCCCAACACTTTGGGAGGCCAAGGTGGGCACAGATGACATGAGCTCAGGAGTTCCAGACCTGCCTGGGCAACATGGTGAAACCCCATCTCTACAAAAAATACAAAAAAAAAAATTATCTGGACATGTTGGTATGTATTTGTTGTCCCAGCTACTCAGGAGGCTGAGGTGGGAAGATGGCTTGAGCCCAGGAGGCAGAGGTTGCAGTGAGCTGGGATCAATCACACCACTGCATTCAAACCTGTGAGACAGGGCCAGATCCAGTCTCAAAAAAATAATAATAATAATAAAGTAAATATTTAAAAATATTTCATTGAAAATATATTACATGATATATTTTCTCTTAAACAAAATTTCCTAGCCTATCCACTGAAAAAGCCTAGAAACAATGACCAACCCCAACAGTAGTCAGCCACCTTAGTTTCTAGATTATAGTCTCTAAATACTTTTTTCCTTCAGCAATTTCCTTTCTTTCAGCACTTTCCTTCAGCACCCTCCCCTCAATGAAATCAAGCCTGGTTCCAAATATGGGACAGGTAACATATAAGCCAGAAACATTTTGCCCCATCAAAAACAAAGATGCTATCAAAGTCTATGCTCATGTCAAAAGACTGTAGGAGACAACTTGAAGAGGTTGCCTCTGGCCAGTGATAGAATTATTTGAGCATCGAAAAGGACCCTAACTGCAGTGGATTTTAGCACATCAAATATGTTAAACTCCATGAGTTGCTAGATACCACCAAAGGGGGAAAAATTTTTCATCAGTCAACTTTGATAAGTACTACTAATCTACCTCATTACTCTGAAAACTGATAAATAAAAGGAAGGAATCAAGCATTTATTCTAACATTCTTGTATGAACCATACCTCAAAGGAACCAGAAAGTTGATAGGGAAAAGTCATTTCTCTTTATGGAAGTATTCTAGCTAATAAATGATGAAGAGGTGATAAAATATCACCATTGTGGAATCCCTAATGAAATAATGGACCTAGACAATCATCATCAATAACTGACAAAAAAATTTAGGTAAAAACCTGATGAGGAACTTTGTAATGGATGAAACAGGCTCAGAACACCTAAACCCACTAATTTTTCTTAAGCTCAAAATAAGAGAGACAGTAATGTGCTTCTTGATGCCACACAATGAGTCTTATAAAGCACACATCTGAAACACATTTACCCAAAAATATCAAAACTGGATCAGACCAAGCCTTTAGCTCTAACTGCCAGTTTATAGGAAATAGAGAGATCAGCATTCACATTAAATGATACTGAAGTGATATAATCAGCAAAATTCAGAATATGAAAAACTCTACAAGACAAATGTCCTAACTTCTTCAAAAAATAAATTGCCAAGTGGAGAAAGTTAAGGAGAAACCATAGATTAAAAGAGACTTCCACCTGGGCAATATAGTGCTAATGTTTTCTTTATATACCTGGTTGCTCCTGTGTTGAGTTCATATATATTTTAAATTGTTATATCCTCTTGCCAAACTGACCCGTTTATTATTATATAGTGACCTTATTGTATCTTCTTATATTTTTGTCTTGAAATCTATTTTGTCAGGTCAGGCACAGTGGCTCACACCTGTAATCCCAGCACTTTGGGAGACTGACGCAGGCAGATCACAAGATTGAGAGATCGAGACCATCCTCGCCAATGTGGTAAAACCTCATCTCTACTAAAAATACAAAAATTAGCTGGGCACGGAGGCACGTGCCTGTAGTCCCAGGTACTCGGGAGGCTGAGGCAGGAGAATCGCTTGAACCTGGGAGGTGGAGGTTGTGGTGAACCAGTGAACCAAGGTCACGCCACTGCACTCCAGCCTGGTGACAGAGCGAGACTCCGTCTCAAAAAAAAAAAAAAAAATGCCAGGCGCAGTGGCTCATGCCTGTAATCCCAGCACTTTGGGAGGCTGAGGTGGGTGGATCACTAGGTCAGGAGATCAAGACCATCCTAGCTAACATGGTGAAACCCCGTCTCTACTAAAAATACAAAAAATTAGCTGGGCATGGTGGCAGGTGCCTGTAGTCCCATTTACTCGGGAGGCTGAGGCAGGAGAATGGCATGAACCCAGGAGGCGGAGCTTGCAGTGAGCCAAGATTGCACCACTGCACTCCAGCCTGGGCGACAGAGTGAGACTCCATCTCAAAAAAAAAAAAAAAAATCTATTTTGTCTGATATAAATATAGCTACTCCAGTCTTTCTTTTTTTTTTTTTTTTTTTGGTTTCCAGTGGCATGGAATATCTTTTTCCAGTCCTTTATTTTCAATCTGTGTGTGTCTTTATAGGTGAAGTGTGTTTCTGGAAGGCAACATATCAGTGGGTCTTGTTTTTTTAATTGATTCAGCCAGTCTATGCCTTTATGTGTGTTTTTTTGTTTTTTGTTTTTTTGTTTTGTTTTTGTTTTTGTTTTTTGAGACAGTCTCACTCTGTTTCCCAGGGTGGAGTGCAGTGGTACTATCTCAGCTCACTGCAACCTCTGCCTCCTGGGTTCCAACAATTCTCATGCCTCAACCTCCTGAGTAGCTGGGACTACAGGCGCACGTCACCATGCCCAACTAATTTTTTGTATTTTTTTTTTTTAGTAGAGATGGGGTTTCACCATGTTGCCCAGGTTGTTCTCAAACTCCTGAGCTCAGGCATTCCACCTGCCTCAGCCTCCGAAAGTGTTAGGATTACAGGCATGAGCCAATGTGCCTGGCCAGCCATTCTATGTCTTTTGATTGGAGAGTTTAGTTCATTTACATTAAATGTTATTTTATTGATAGGTAAGGACTTACTCTTCATTTTGTTCTTTGTTTTCTAGTTGTTTTGTGGTCTTCTTTTCCTTCTTTCCCTCCCGTCTTCCTTTAGTGAAGTTGATTTTCTCTGGTGATATAATTTAGTTTCTTGTGTTTTATTTTTTATGTATCCACTGTATATTTGTTTGGTTTGAGGTTACCATGAGGCTTGCAAATAATATCTTATAACCCATTATTTTAACCTGATAACTAATTAATACTGTTTGCGTAAACAGACAAGCAGAAAGAAAACTAATAAAAACTCTATATCTTAACTTCATCCCCCCTGCTTTTTAACTTTTTGATGTTTCTATTTATATCTTATTGTACTGTCTATGTCTTGAAAAGTTGTTTCTGCTATTATTTTTTGTTGGTTCATCATTTAGTCTTTCTACTTAGGATAAGAGTGGTTTACACACCACAGTTACAGTGTTCTCATATCCTGTGCTTTTCTGTGTACATGCTATTACCAGTGAGTTTCGTACCTTCAGGTGATTACTTAATGCTAATTAACATTGTTTTCTTTCTGATTGAAGTACTTTCTTTAGCATTTTTTATAGGAAAGGTCTGGTGTTAATGAAATCCCTCAGCTTCAGTTTGTCTGGGAAAGTCTTTATTTCCCTTTTATGTTTTATTTTTGCCAGATACACTATTGTAGGGTTTTTTCTTCAGCACTTTAAATATGTCATGGCATTCTCTCCTTGTTTATAAGGTTTCCACTGAAAAGTCAGCTGCCAGATGTATTGGAGATCCATTGAATGTTGTTTCTTTTCTCTTGCTGCTTTTAGGATCCTTTCTTTATCCTTGACCTTTGGGAGATTGAATGTTAAATGCCTTGACGTAGTCTTATTTGGGTTAAATCCTCTTTGGGTGTTCTATAATCTTCTTATATTTGAATACTGATATTTTTCTTTAAGTTTGGGAAGATATCTGTTATTATCCCTTTGAATAAACTTTCTACTCCTATCTCTCTCTCTCTACCTCCACTTTAAGGCCAATAACTCTGAGATTTGCCTTTTTTTTTTTTTTTTTTTTTTTTGAGACAGTCTCACTCTGTCACCCAGGCTAGAGTGCAGTGGCATGATCTCAGCTCACTGCAACCTCTGCCTCCCGGGTTCAAGCCGTTCTCATGCCTCAGCCTCCCAGGCAGTTGGGATTACAGGCACATACCACCACGCCCGGCTAATTTTTGTATTTTTAGTAGAGACAGGGTTCTACCATGTTGGCCAGGCTCGTCTCAAACTCCCAACCTTAGGTGATCCACCCACCTCGGCCTCCCAAAGTGCTGGGATTACAGGCGTGAGCCACCGCACCTGGTCAGATTTGCCCTTCTGAGGCTATTTTTTAGATCTTATAGGCATGCTTCATTCTTTTTTATTCTTTTTTCTCCTCTGACTGTGTATTTTCAAATAGCTTGTCTTCAAGCTCACTAATTCTTTTTCTACTTGATCAGTTCTGCTGTTAAGAGACTCTGATGTGGGCTGGGCACAGTGGTTCATGCCTGTAATCCCAGCACTATGGGAGGCCAAGACGGGCGGATCACGAGGTCAGGCGATCGAGACCTTCCTGGCTAACACAGTGAAACCCCGTCTCTACTAAAAATACAAAAAAATTAGCGGGGCTTGGTGGCGGGCACCTGTAGTCCCAGCTACTCAGGAGGCTGAGGCAGGAGAATGGCATGAACCTGGGAGGCGGAGCTTGCAGTGAGCCGAGATCACACTGCTGCATTCCAGCCTGGGTGACAGAGTGAGACTTCGTCTCAAAAAAAAAAAAAAAAGAGAGACTCTGATGCATGCTTCAGTATGTCAATTGCATTTTTCAGCTCCAGAATTTCTGCTTGATTCTTTTTAATATTTCAGTCTCTTTATTAAATTTATCTGATGGAATTCTGAATTTCATTGAGTTTCCTCAAAACAGCCATGTTGCATTCTCGTCTGAAAGGTCATATATCTCTGTCTCTCCAGGATTGGTCACTAATGCCTTCTTTAGTTCATTTGGTGAGGTCATGTTTTCCTGTATGGTCTTGATGCTGGATGTTTGTTGTTGTCTGGGCATTGAAGAGTTAAATATTTATTGTAGTCTTCTCAGTCTGAGCTTATTTATACCCATTCATCTTGGGAAGGCTTTCTAAGTACTCAAAGGGACTTGGGTATTGTGATCTAAGTTTTTGGTCACTGCAGCCATATCTGCATTCAGGGGCACCCCAAAGCCAGTAACACTGTGGCTTTTGCAGACTCATAGAGGTACCCCCTTGATGGTCTTGTGTAAGATCCAGAAGAATTCTCTGGATCAACAGGCAGAGACTCTTGTTGTCTTCCTTTATTTTCTCCCAAATAGAGTCTCTCTGTGCTGAACTGCCTGGAGCTTGGGGGGAATGGTGATATAAGCACCCTGTGGCTACCACCACTAGGACTGCTCTGATTCAGACCTGAAGCCAGCACAGCACTAGGTCTCACCCGAGGCCCACTGCCCATGTTTGCTCAAAGCCCTAGAGCTCTACAATCAGCAGGTGGCAAAGCCAGATAGGCTTTTGTCCTTCCCTTCAGAACTGCTAGTTCCCCCAGTGCCCTAGGCAGGTCCAGAGATGCCATCTAAGAGCCAGAGCCTGGAGTCAGAAACCTTAGGAATCTACCTGATGTTCTATTTTACTATGGCTAAGCTGGCACCGAAGCCACAAGGCAGAGTCCTTCTCACTCTTCCCTCTCCCTTCCATAAGGAGAGGGGTCTCTCCCCATGGCCAGCACTTCCCCAAGCCCGTAGCAAGTTCTGCCTGGCTACTGCTGATACTCACGCAAGACCCAGAGGCATTTCACACAATGCTGCCAGGCCACAGACTCTACTTTCAGGGCATTGGGCTCCCCTCTGGCCCAGGATAGGTCCAGAAATGCCATCCAAGAGTGAAGGCCTGGATTTAGGGATCCCAAGAACCCACTTAGTGCCAAGCTGGTATCTAAGCTGCAAGATGAAGTCCCCTTTACTCTTTCATCACCTTTTTTCAAGCAGGAGGAGTCTCTCCCTGTAGCCACCACAGCTGGGAATGTGCTAAGTCACAACTGAAGCCAGCACATCTCAAAGTCTCCCCAAGGCCCACAGCGTATAACACCTGGCTACTGCTGCTGCTTATTCAGGGCCCAAGGGCTCTTTAGTCAGTGGATGATGAATCCTACCAGGACTGGTTCTTTCCTTCAAGGCAGCAGGTTCCTTTGGTTCCTTTCTGGCACCAAATATGTCTAGAAATATTGTCCAGAAGCTAGGGCCTGGAATGAGGGTGTCAAAACTCTACCTGTTGCCCTATCCTACTGTGGCTGAGCTAGTATCCAAGTTGCAAGACAAAGTCTTCTTTACTCATCCCTCTCCTCTCCTCAAGCAGAAGGAAAGAATTTCTCCCAGAGGTGCAAGCTGCACTGCCTGGGGTTGGGGGAGAGTTGGCACAAGCACTCCCTTGGCCTCCCTGGCTAGTGTCTCACTAGCTCACCTGCCCCCCAAGTCCACTAGTTCCAAGCTTAGCACAGCACCAGGACTTGTCCAGGAATTGCATTCCTTGTGGCCGAGGACTGCCTTTCAAGTTTATTTAGATCCCCAGGGCACTGCCCAAAGCAATCTACAGATTCAATTCAATTCCCATCAAAATATCAACATCATTTTTCACAGAATTAGGAAAGAATTATAAAATTCATATGGAACCAAAAAAGAGCCCGCATAGCCAAAGCAATCCTAAGCAAAAAGAACAAATCTAGAGGCATATTACTGTACTTCAAATTATACTGCAAGGCTGTAGTTACCAAAACAACATGGTACTGTTATAAAAGTAGGCACAGAGACCAATGGAATAGAATAGAGAACCCAAAAATAAAGCCAAAAACTTAGAACCAATTGATCTTTGACAAAGCATACAAAAACATAAATTGGGGAAAGGACACCCTATTTAATAAATGGTACTGGGAAAACTGGCTAGCCACATGTAAAAGAATGGAGCTGGATCCCTATCTCTCATCTTGTACAAAAATCAACTCAAGATGGAACAAAGACTTAAAAATATGACCTAAAACCATAAAAATTTTAGAAGATAACCTTGGGGAAACTCTTCTGGACATTGGCCTAGGCAAAGTATGCATGACTAAGACCCCAAAAGCAAATGCAACAAAAACAAAAATAAATGAATGAAACCTGATTAAACTAAAAAACTTCTGCATAGGAAAAGAAATAATTATCAGAGTAACCAGACAACCTACAGAGTGGAAAAATAATTTTGCAAACTGTGTTTAACAAAGGACTAGTATCTAGAATCTACAAGAAACTTAAAGCAGCAGAAAAAATAAATAATCTCATCAAAAAGTGGATAAATGGCATGAATAAACATTACTCAAAAGAAGATATACAAATGGCCAACAACATATGAAAAAATGCTCAACATCACTAATCATCAGGGAAATGCAAATTTAAACCACAATGAGATAGCACCTTACTCCTGGAAGAGTGGTCATAGTTAATAAATGAATAAATAAATAAATAAAAATTTTTAAAAATGGAAGTTGGCATGAATGTGGTGAAAAGGGAATGCTTATACACTGCTGGTGGGAATGTAAATTAGTACAACCTCTATGGAAAACATCATGGAAGTTCCTTAAAGAACTAAAGGCAAGTCTACCATTCGATCCAGCAATCCCGTTGCTGGGTGTCTACCCAGAAGAAAATAAATCATTATATGAAAAAGACACATGCACACATATGTTTACTATAGCACAATTCACAATTGCAAAGATATGGAACCAGCCTAAGTGCCCATCAACTAATGTGTGGATAAAGAAAATGTGGTGTATATACTTCATGGAATACACTTCTCAGCCCTAAAAAGGAATGAAACAATATCTTTTGCAGCAACTTTGATGGAGCTGGAGTCCATTATTCTAAGTGGGTAACTCAGTAATGGAAAACCAAACACCACATGTTCTCACTTGTGAGAGCTAAGCTATGAGTACAGAAAGGCAGACAGAGTGATACAATGGACTTTGGAGACTCAGAAGGGGAAGGGTGGCCAGGCGCGATGACTCACACCTGTAATCCCAGCACTTTGGGAGTACGAGGCAGGTGGATCCCTGAGATCAGGAGTTCGATACCAGCCTGCCCAACATGGTGAAACCCTGTCTCTACTAAAAATACAAAAATTAGCCGGTGTGGTAGCATGCACCTGTAATCCCCACTACTCAGGAGACTGAGGCAGTAGAATCACTTCAACCTAGGAGGCAGAGATTAAGTGAGCCGAGATCGCACCACTGCACCCCAGCCTGGGCAACAGAGCGGGACTCTATCTCAAAAAAAAAAAAAAAAAAAAAAAAGAAGAAGGGAAAGGGTAGGAAGGGAGTGTGGGATTAAAAACTACATATTGGGTACAATGTACACTACTCAGGTGACAGGTACACTAAAATCTCAGAATTCACCACTATGTAATTCATTCATGCAACCAAAAAACACTTGTACCCCCAAATCCATTGTAATTTTTAAAAAATTTTTTTAGAAATAATAAAAAAAAATTTATATGGCCCTCCAGTTTCGGGTCCACCATGTAAGGACCTTGAAGGTTACCACTCCATCCTAACAACAAGTAATAAACTGGCCAAACTGTAAAATCACCAATTTTTTGTATATCCATCAGAGAAGTGAGGTCATAGGGCAAATTGCTGCCACTTGAAGATCCAGACAGACAAATACAGAGATTCACAACTTACCAGAACAGAAACCCGTCAGCAGAAACCTTCACATGAACCAGTAATAGGGTAGGAAAACCTAAACAGTAACTGACAAATTGCTTCAGTGGGGGCCCAGTAATAGGAGGTTCTCCCACACTTTTGTGAGGATCAATACACATAATGGGAATATCAGAAGTAGAAGAAAGAGAGAAAGGAAAAAAAGCAATATTAGATGCACTAATGACTGATAATTTCCCCAAATTAATGTCAGACATCAAACCACAGATCCAGGATGTTCAGAGAACACCAAGTAGAATAAATGAAAAAAAAGAAAAAAAACTACACCTAGGTATATCATGTTAAAAACAAAATAAAAGATTTTTTTAAAAAGACAATTATATAGAATCTAAGATAAAGAAAAATATATAGGTCAGAAACTTGGATCTGTGTTGTCTTCAACCATTTTGTGCTGCTAAAACAGAATACTACGAATGGGTAATTTATAATGAATAGAAATTTATTGGATTATTGGATATTACAGTGAACACATCTATTGGGTTATTGCATTAACTTTCCAATACATGAACTTTGTGGGACACATTAAAACCACAGTATATACAGAGAAGAAGAAGAGGAGGAGGAGGAGGAAGGAGATTACAGAAGGAATAAATGAAGGTAAAATATAAACTTTAGTTCTTTTTTTCTTTTTTTTGAGACAGATTCTTGCTCTGTCACCCAGGCTGGAGTGCAGTGGTGGGATCTCCACTCACTGCAAGCTCCGCCTCCTAGGTTCATGCCAGTCTCCTGCCTCAGCCTCCTGAGTAGCTGGGACTACAGCCGCCATTATGCCCAGCTAATTTTTTGTATTTTTAGTAGAGACGGGGTTTCACCATGTCAGCCAGGATGGTCTTGATCTCCTGACCTCGTGATCCGCCCACCTCGGCCTCCCAAAGTGCTGGGATTACAGGCATGAGCCACCACGCCCGGCCTAAACTTTAGTTCTTAATTGATCTAATAGATAACGGTTTGTTCAAAATATAACAACAATATGCAAACTGTCCCTAACTTGTGATGGCTCAACTTATGATTTTTTTAACTTTATGATGGTGCAAAAGCAATATGCATTCTGTAGAAACTGCATTTCAAGTACCCATATAGCCATTCAGTTTTTTACTTTCAGCTTAGTATATTCAACAAATTACATGAGATTTTCAACACTTTATTATAAAATAGGCTTTGTGTTAGAGGATTTTGTCCAATTGTAGGCTAATGTAAGTGTTTTGAGCACATTTAAGGTAGGGCAGGCTAAGCTATAATGTTCAGTAGGTTAGGTGTTATTCAATACATTTTGACACATATGTTCAACTTGCAGTGGGTTTATCTTGACATAATCCCATCATAGGTCAAGGAGCATCTGTATTAGATGATTATAGCTTATATATAAGTAAAATGAATGGTAGAAATGATACAAGGGACAGGAGGGAGGAGTTAGGATTATTTTGTTATTATAAAGTACTTACATTACCCATAAAGTAGTATAGTATTATTTGAAAGTGAACTTGAATTAGTGGTAAATGTATATGGCAAACTGTAGGGAAACTACTTTTTTTCTTTTTTTTTTTTTTTTTTGAGATGGAGTCTCGCTCTGCCATCCAGGATGGAGTGCAGTGGCACAATCTTAACTCACTGCAAGCTCCACCTTCCAGGTTCAAGCGATTCTCCTGCCTCAGCCACCCGAGAGCTGAGATTAGGCGACTGCCACCATGCCGGATAATTTTTGTATTTTTATTAGAGACGGGGTTTTGCCATGTTGGCCAGGCTGGTCAAGAACTGACCTCAGGGGATCCGCCTGCCTCGGCCTCCCAGAGTGCTGGGATTACAGGTGTGAGCCACCGCACCGGCCTGGAAACCACTTTTTTAAAGTAAGTAGTATAATTGATACTTTTAAAAACAGGAGAGAAAATAAAATAATATAGTCACATAAAAATGGTGAATTAAAAGCAAAAAAAGGCAGAAGAGAGTGGAAGACAAAAATAGGAACAAAGGAAAAGGGCAACAAATAGAAAACAGTAACAAATATGGTAGGTATTAATACAACTATACTAATAATCACTGTAAACATTAATGGTGTAAATATACTAAATAAAAGACAGAAATTGTCCTAATGGAGCAAAAAACATAACTGAACTATATGTTGGCTAAAAGAAACCCACTTTAAATACGAAGGCACATAGAGAGTAAAAGTAAAGGTATGGAGAGTGACATATCATTCTAACACTAATCAAAAGAAGGCTAGAGTAGCTATTTTAATATCAAACAGTAGACTTCAGAGCAAGGAATATTGTCAGGGATAAAAAAAGACATTATATAATGATAAAAGGGTCAATTATCTAAGAAGAAATAGCAATTGTTAATGTATATTCACCTAACAAAAGAATGGCAAAATACATGAGGCAAAGACTGATAGAATCCCAAGGAAAAATAGATGAATCCGCTACTATATTTGGAGACTTCAACACCCCTCATTAAGAAATAGACAGTTCTAGCAGGCAGAAAATTAGAAAGAATGTACTTGAACAGTACCATTAATCAACTGGTTATCATTGACATCTATAGAATATTTTATTCAACAACAGCAGAATACACATTTTTCTCAAGCTCACATGAAACATTGACTAATAGAGATCACATTCAGGGCCATAAAACACACATTAATAAATTTTAAAGAAATAATGCAATATATAGTTATTCAAACCGCAGTGGAATCAAACTAGAAATCAGTAACAGAAAGATAGCTGGAAAGTCCCCCAGGTATTTGGACATTAAACAGCATACTTCTAAGTAACACAAGTCAAAGAAGAAATCTCAAGAAAAATTTAAAATATTTCAAACTAAATGAAAATAATAATACAATGTATCAAAACGTGTGGGATACAGTGAAAGCAATGTGATATGGTTTGGCCGTTTCCCCACCCAAATCTCTACTTTAATTGTATCTCCCAGAATTCTCACGTGTAGTGGGAGGGACCCATAAGGAGATAATTGAATCATGGGCCTGGTCTTTCCCATGCCATTCTGTGATAGTGAATAAGTCTCATCAGATCTGATGGGTTTATCAGGGGTTTCCGCTTTTGCTTCTTCCTCATTTTTCTATTGCCATCCCCATGTAAGAAGTGCCTTTCACCTCCTGCCATGATTCTGAGGCCTCCCCAGCCATGTGAAACTGTAAGTCCAATTAAAACCTTTTCTTCCAAGTCTCAGGTATGTCTTTACCAGCAGCATGAAAACAGACTAATACAGTAAATTGGTACCAGTAGAGGGGGGCCTTGCTGAAAACATACTTGAAAATGTGGAAGTGACTTTGGAACTGGGTAACAGGCAGAGGTTGGAAGAGTTTGGAGAGCTCAGGTGAAGACAGGAAAATGTGGGCAAGTTTGGAACTTCCTAGAGACATGTTGAATGGCTTTGCCCAAAATGCTGATAGTGATGTGGACAATAAGGTTCAAGCTGAGGTGGTCTCAGATGGAGGTGAGGAACTTGTTGGGAACTGGAGCAAAGGTGACTCTTGTTATGTTTTAGCAAAGAGACTGGTGGCATTTTGCCCCTACTGTAAAGATGTGTGGAACTTTGAACTTGAGAGAGATGATTTAGGGTATTTGGTGGAAAAAAATTCTAAGCAGCAAAGCATTCAAGATGTGACTTGGGTGCTGTTAAAGGCATTCAGTTTTATAAGGGAAACAGAGCATAAAACTTTGGCAAATTTGCAGCCTGACTATGCAATAGAAAAGAAAAACCCATTTTCTGGGGAGAAATTCAAGCCAGCTGCAGAAATTAGCATACGTAGCAAGGAGCCTAATGTTAATCCCCAAGACCATGGGGAAAATATCTCCAGGCCATGTCAGAGACCTTCAGCAGCTCCTCCAATCACAGGCCTGGAGTCCCAGGAGTAAAAAATGGTTTCCTGGGCTGGGCCCAGGGTCTTCGTGCTGTGTGCAGTCTAGGCATTTTGTGCCCTGTGTCCCAGCCACTCCAGCCATGGCCAAAACAGGCCAATGTACACCTCAGGCTGTGATTTCAGAGGGTGCAAGCCCCAAGACTTGGCAGCTTCCACGTGGTGTTGAGCCTGCAGGTGCACAGAAGCCAAGAACTGAGGTTTGGGAACCTTTAACTAGGTTTCAGCAGATGTATGGAAATGCCTGGACCCCCAGGCAAAAGTTTGCTGCAGGGGTGGGGCCCTCATGAAAAACCTCTGCTAGGGCAGTGCAGAAGGGAAATGTGGGGTTGGAGCCCCCACACAGAGTCCCTACTGGGGCACTGCCTAGTGGAGCTGTGAGAAGAGGGCCACCATCCTCCAAGCCCCAGAATGGTAGATCCACTGACAGCTTGCACTGTGCACCTGGAAAAGCCACAGACACTCAATGCCAGCCCATGAAAGCAGCTAGGAGAGAGGCTGTACCCTGCAAAGCCACAGGGGCAGAGCTGCCGAAGACCATGGGAACCTACTTTTTGCATCAGCGTGACCTGGATGTGAGACCTGGAGCCAAAGGAGATCATTTTAGAGCTTTAAGATTTGACTGTCCCACTGGATTTTGTACTTGCATGGGCCCTATAACCCCTCTGTTTTGGCCAATTTCTCCCATTTGGAATGACCATATTTACCCAATACCTGTACCCCCATTATATCTAGGAAGTAACTAGCTTGTTTTTGATTTTACAGGCTCATAGGTGGAAGGGACTTGCCTTGTCTCAGATGAGACTTTGGACTGTGGACTTTTGGGTTAATGCTGAGATGAGAATGAGTTAAGACTTTGGGGGACTGTTGGGAAGGCATAATTGGTTTTGAAATGTGAGAACGTGAGATTTGGAGGGGCCAGGGGCAGAATGATATGGTTTGGCTGTGTCCCCACCCAAATTTCAACTTGAATTGTATCTCCCAGAATTCCCATGTGTTGTGTACTCTCCAGCCTGGGCAACAGAGTGAGACCCTGTCTCAAAAAAAAAAAAAAAAAAGAAGAAGAAGAAGAAGGACAAACCTGACAAGACTTTTATCCCAAATATACAAAGAACTCTTAAAACTCAACAACAATAATTTTTTAGAACCTGATTTTAAAATAGGCATCAGGTGAGTCATAGAGAATGCTGGTTAAAACAAAACAAAACAAAACAAAACAACCCTGTATAGACACCTCACCAAAAAAGATATACAAATGGTAAATAAACATATAAAAAGATGCTCAATATTATATGCCATTAGGGAATTGCAAAGTATAACAATGAAATACCATTATAACTATTAGAATGGCCAAAATCCAAAAGACTGGCAACATTAAGTGCTGACAAGGATGTGGCACAGTAAGAACTCCATTCATTGCTGGTGGGAGTGCAAAATGGTACAGCCAACTTGGAAGACAGTTTGGCAGATTCTTACAAAACTAAACGTACTCTTACAATACAATCTAACCATCACACTCCTTGGTATTTGCCCTAATGAGTTGAAAACATGTCCACACAAAAACTAGCATGTGGATGTTTATAACCACCTTACTTGTAATTGTTAAAATTTGGAAGCAACCAAGATGTCCTTCAGTAAGTGAATGGATGTAACTGTGGTAATTCCAGACAGTGGAATGGTATTCAGTGCTAAAAATAAATGAGGCAACAAGCCATGAAAAGACATGGAGGAAACTTAAATGCATATTACTAAGTGAAGGAAGCCAATCTGAAAAGGCTACACACTATATGATTACAACAATTATGACATTCTGGAAAAAGCAAACTATGGATGCTGTAAAAAAAGTCAGTGGTTGCCAGTGCCTGGTGGGAGGGAGAGCTGAATGGGCAGAGCATGGGCAGAGCATGGAATTTTAAGGGCAATGAAACTATTCTGTATAATACTGTAATGGTGGATACATGTCATTTTACATTTGTCCAAACACATAAAAGATACAGCACCAAGAATGAGCCCTAATCATAGACTGTGGGGTCATCAGTTGTAACAAATGTACCATTCTAGTGCAGGATGTTGATAGAGAGGCTGTGCATTTGTGGTAGCAAGGGAATATATATGGGAAATTTGTCTACTTTCTACTCAATTTGACTGTGAACCTAAACCTGCTCCAAAAAATAAAGTCTATTTTGTAAAATAAACAAATTTAAGTTTTTTAAAACTTTCCACTGCTGATTGAATACATTGATTTATCCGTTCCCTCTGCCTTTTTGTTTCGTTTTGTTTTGCAAGATGAAGGGGGGACAATGTGAGATTTAATTGATTCTCTATACTGAAATAAAAGTGAAATATGCCTTTCACATTATTGTTCCAGTTTGTACAGTATATTATAATGGATTTTGTTTATAAAATAAAATTTCTATATTTCATTTCTATATAGATGAAATACAATAAAAATCAAGGTGACCGCACCATTTCCACAATGAGCCGTCAAGTGACTGATGTAAAAAATGTAATGACACAAAATATCGATAAAATTTTGGAAAAAGAAGAAAGATTGAATACCTTCCTTGATAGAACAGATGATCTCCAAACAACTGTTAAGTGACTCACACCTGTGTTGATGTCTAAACAGTGCTGTAAGTCATACGATTGCTGCCCTTGAGACAAATTGCCAAAAGCAAAAACATACTAGGCATACTGTGAGATAATCCTTCATCAAAAAATTCTTGGAATGCAACTAAAATATTAAAAGAATTAATTATAAAACAATCCAAATAAAGAAACCCATGGCAAGACACAGTGGCTCATGCCTGTAATCCCAGTACTTTGGGAGGCCAAAGCCAGAGAATAGCTTGAGTTCAGGAGTTTCAGACTAGCCTGGCTAACATAGTGAGACCTTGTCTCTACAAAAAATTAAAAATTAACCAGTCGCAGTGGTGAGCCATCTGAAGTCCCAGCTACCCAGCTACTTAGGAGGTTGAGACAGGAGGATCGCTTAAACTTGGGAGGTTGAGGCTACAGTGAGCCATGATCATGCCATTGCACTCCAGCCTGAGTGACAGAGCAAGACAATCTCGGCTGGGTGTGGTGGCTCACGCCTGTAATCCCAGCACTTTGGCCGAAGTGGGTGGATCACGAGGTCAGGAGATCGAGACCATCCTGGCTAACACGGTGAAACCCCATCTCTACTAAAAATACAAAAAATTAGCCAGCTGTGGTGGCACGCTGCTGTAGTGCCAGCTACTCGGGAGGCTGAGGCAGGAGAATCACTTGAACCCAGGAGGCAGAAGTTGCGGTGAGCTGAGATCGTGCCACTGCACTCCAGCCTGGGCAGCAGAGTGAGACTCTGTCTCTGAAAAAAAAAAAAAAAAAAAATAGAAAAGAAACTCACTAAATTAAACAGTGCTTATTTGCATAATAGAAGGAGTTCTTACATTAAGAAAATACAGATTAGTCAACAAATAAATTGCAAAGGTAAAAAGAAGAGAAAGGGAACTTATTTTAAAAATGAAGTTAAAGCCAGACGCAGTGGCATGAGCCTGTAATCCCAGCTACTCAAGAGGCTGAGGCAGGAGGGTTTTTTAAGCTCAAGAGTTCGAGGCTGCAATGACCTGTGATTGTGCCTGTAAATATTCACTGCACTCCACCCTGAGCAACACAGTGAGACCTCCGTCTCTTTAAAATGATAGTAATTGTTTTTCTTTTTTTTTGAGAGAGAGGGTCTCGTTCAGTCACCCAACTTGGAGTGCAGTGGTGCAGTCATAACTCACTGCAGCCTTGATCTTCCGTGTTCAAGCGATCCTCCCACCTTAGACTCCTGAGTAGCTGGGATTACAGGAGCTTGCCACCACGCCTGGCTAATTTATGTGTCTTGCTATGTTGGCTCAAGAAATCCACTCAAAGTGCTGGAACCACAGGCATGATTCACCATGCCTGGCCATAATAATAATTTTTAAATGGAATTAAAAGGTATATCAAATGGTCCTTATTTGGATTTTAATTCAAACAAACTGTAAAAAGGAAAATATATAACTTTGTGAGAAAATTAGATATTTGAACTATGGCTGGATATTAGATGACATTCAAGAATTACTATTAATTTTTTAGGTGTAATAGTATTGTGGTTATTTTTTTAAAAAACTCTACTTATTACAGATTTATACTAAAATTTTTACGGTTAAAATTATATAATATCTAGCATTTGCTTCAGAATAACTGAGTAGCAGGGTAAAAGCAGAATGGGATATAAATGAAACAAAATTGGCCATAAATTGACAATTGTTAAAGCTGAATATTGAGTATATTGGGTTTCATTATGTCATTCTGTCAACTTTTGTGTATGTTTGAAATTCTCTATTATAAATTAGTCTGAATACTAGTTTGGATAGTTCCCTTAGAGCATTTTCAATTTTATTTCTATACATCTTTTCTAGAAAAACAGCCACTATGTATAAAGCAAAATATGCACATAACCAAGTTCTATTGATTCTACCTCCTAAATCTTTTTTCTTAGCCCCATTTTTTCACTTAAAAAAAAGGTATTATTTATATATAATAATATTCATTCATTTTAAGGGTAGCATTTGATGAATTTGGTAATTGTATACTGTCTGTAACCACAATCGAAATATAAGAGTTCCTTCATCCTAAAATCTTCATGCCCTTTGACAGTGAGTCTCACCAACCACTGATCTGCTTTCTGTCACTATAGTTTTGCCTTTTCTAGAATTTTATATAAATAGAATCATACAGTACAGCTGAATTGTGTTTAAAATTCCTCTCCTGCTCCTCCCCAGGCCACTCACGGTGTCACTCCAAGCTCTGTATCTCTTGTCTGACTGTGGTAATCCCCAGATTTAAATGTTCTTCCTGCCTTTTGTTCTATTCCACTCCAGTCATCCTCCACACTGGCACCAGAGTGATCTTTTAAAATCCAAGTATGATCATTATCTGTGGACTTCTTCAAACCCTTCAGCGGTGCCCCTATGCCCACATAGGGTAGAGAGTCCAACCTTGTTTTCCTGCCCTCAAATGTAGATCATCTTATGCAATCTCCTGGGTTGCTGGCACCCACTGGGTTGCTTGCACCACATTTTGGGGACCTTTACTCTACGATGTAAAGATAGAAATAGAATTGCTGAATCTTAAAATATGTACATCTTTAATTTTACCAGATATTTCAAAATTGCTCTCCAAAGTGTTATGCCAGTTTATACTTGAGAGTTCCTGTTGCTCTGCATTTTTTTTTTTTTTTTTTTAAACAGCGTCTCACTCTGTCGCCCAGGCTGGAGTGCAGTGATGCAATCTCCACTCACTGAAACCTCTGCCTCCCAGTTTCAAGAGATTCTCGTGTCTCAGCTTCCCGAGTAGCTAGGACTACAGGCACACACCACCACGCCCGGCTAATTGTTTGTATTTTTATTAGAGACAAGGTCTAGCCATGTTGCCCAGGCTGGTCTCAAACTCCTGAGCTCAGGCAATCCACCCGCCTTGGCCTCCCAAAGTGCTAGAATTACAGGTGTGAGCCACCACACCTGGCCTATTCTTTCTGATACTTACAATTTTTAACAATGTGGTAGGGAAAAAATAATTTTTAATAAATAATTTCAACTTTGCGCATAGTAACATTTTATGACAAAACCGTCTAACTTTCACATAGTCAAATTTGTCAGTCTTGTCCTTGACAGTTTATGCTTTCCGTGTCTTGTTTAAGGACTCTTTCCCTACCCCAGGTTATAAAGATACTCTTATATTGTCCCTAAAAGCTCTAAATTCTGTTTCTCAAACAGATCTTTGAAACACTTGGAATTTGTTTCTGCATATGGTATGAGATAGGAATCATTTATTATTTTCTGTATAACCAGTAGACCAAACATTATTTTTTGGCTATATTATCCTTTCCTACTTAACTTATACTGCCAACTCTGTCATATATAAAGTTTTCATAGACAAAGTTGTTTTTTTTCGGGGGTGGGGGACAGAGTTTCACTCTTGTCACCCAGGCTAGAGTGCAATGGCGTGATCTCGGCTCACTGCAACCTCCGCCTCCTGGGTTCAAGCAATTCTGGTGCCTCAGCCTCCTGAGTAGCTGGGATTACAGGCGCGCACCGCCACACCTGGCTAATTGTGTATTTTTTGTAGAGACAGGGATTCACCATGTTGGCCAGGCTGGCCTCGAACTCCTGAGCTCAGGTGATTCACCCACCTCAGCCTCCCAAACTGCTGGGATTACAGACAAAGTTTTATGCTTTTGATTTATATAGCCTATTCTACTGGTCTATGTATATATTGTTGGGCCAGTACTTTATCATTTCAGTTACTTTGGCTTTAGAAGGAGTCTCAATGTCTTGTAGGACAAGCTTGCCTACTTTATACTTATTGAAATTTGGGTTGGCAAGGCTTCTCTTTCAATGAATTTTAGAATCTACATCTTAAGTCACACACACATAAATATTAGTATGTTAATTGGAATTATGTTAATATAGGGAGAACTGACATCTTTAAAATATTGTTTCCCATCTCTGAACACGCTACTCCTCTTTTTCTAGGCCTCTTTCAAAATCTTTCAATAGATTTTTATCATTTTTCTCATAAAGGTCTTGTACACCTTTGGTGAGGTTTATTTCTTTATATTTTACAGTTTCTGTTGCTACTGTAAATTAATGTTTTTTATCCATAGGACTTTGCTTGATAGTAAATATTTTTAGAAATGCATCTTAATTTTCTTTAACAGGAACACATCAGTTTTTGGTTTTTTTTTTTTTTTTTTCAGAGGGAGTCTCACTCTGTCACCTAGACTGGAGTGCAATGGTGCAATCTTGGCTCACTGCAACCTCTGCCTGCCGGGTTCAAGTGATTCTCCTGCCTCAGCCTCCCAAGTAGCTGGGATTACAGACACCCGCCACCATGCCCAGCTAATTTTGTGTATGTGTGTGTATTTTTAGTAGAGATGGGGTTTCACTATGTTGGCCAGGCTGGTCTCGAACTCCTGACCTCAAGTGATCCACCCGCCTTGGCCTCCCAAAGTTTTGGGACTACAGGCATGAGCCACCGTGCCCGGCCGAACACATCAGTTTTTACAGATTTTTTATGACCCAAATCTTGCTGAACTCTATTATTGTAATATTGTTGTCTGTAAGTGTCTTTGCATTTTCTACATAGAAGTCATACCGTACATAAATAATGACAGAGGCCAGGCACAGTGGCTTATGCCTGTAATCCCAGCACTTTGGGAGGCCACGGTAGAAGGATTGCTTGAGCTCAGGAGTTTGAGACAAGACTGAACAACACAACATGACCTTTTCTCTACTAAAAAAAAATTTTTTTAATTAGCCAGGTGTGGTGGTGTGCATCTGTGGTCTCAGTTACTCAACAAGGTGAGGTGGGAGGATCACTTGAGCCTGGGAGGTCAAGGCTGCAGTGAACCATGATCGCACCACTGCACCCCAACCTGGGCAACAGACCAAGAGCCTGTCTCAAAAAAATAAAAATTAGGCCGGGCGCAGTGGCTCACGCCTATAATCCCAACACTTTGGGAGGCCGAGGCGGGTGGATCATGAGGTCAGAAGATCGAGACCATCCTGGTTAACACAGTGAAACCCCGTCTCTACTAAAAATACAAAAAATTAGCCGGGAGTGGTGGCGGGCGCCTGTAGTCCCAGCTACTTGGGAGGCTGAGGCAGGAGAATCGCTTGAACCCAGGAGGCGGAGCTTGCAGTGAGCCAAAATTGCACCACTGCACTCCAGCCTGGGTGACAGAGTAAGACTCCATCTCAAAAAATAATAATAATAATGAATTTGAAAATTAAAATTAAAAATTAATGAAAAAAAATAACAGGCCATGCACGGTGGCTCACACCTGTAATCCCAGCACTTTGGAAGGCAGAGGAGGGCGGATCACGAGGTCAGGAGATCGAGACCATCCTGGCTAACACGGTGAAACCTCGTCTCTACTAAAAATACAAAAAATTAGCTGGGCGTGGTGGTGGGTGCCTGTAGTCCCAGCTACTCGGGAGGCTAAGGCAGGAGAATCGCTTGACCCCAGGAGGCAGAGGTTGCAGTGAGCCGAGAACGTGCCATTGCACTCCAGCCTAGGCAACAGAGTGAGACTCCATCTCAAAAACAAAAAAAATACAACATTAAAAAATACAAACAAGATGTGGAGAAATAGGAACACTTTTACACTGTTGGTGGGACTGTAAACCAGTTCAACCATTGTGGAAGACAGTGTGGCGATTCCTCAAGGATCTAGAACTAGAAATACCATTTGTCCCAGCCATCCCATTACTGGGTGTGTATTACATACCCAAAGGATTATAAATCTTGCTGCTATAAAGACACATGCACATGTATGTTTATTGTGGCATTATTCACAATAGCAAAGACTTGGAACCAACCCAAATGTCCATCAATGATAGACTGGATTAAGAAAATGTGGCACATATACACCATGGAATACTGTGCAACCATAAAAAAGGATGAGTTCATGTCCTTTGTAGGGACATGGATGCAACTGGAAACCATCATTCTCAGCAAACTATCGCAAGGATGGCAAACCAAACACCACATGTTCTCACTCATAAGTGGGAACTGAACAATGAGAACACTTGGGCACAGGATGGGGAATATCACACACCGGGGCCTGTCGTGGGGTTGGGGGAGGGGGGAGGGATAGCATTAGGAGATATACCTAATGTAAATGACGAGTTAATGGGTGCAGCACACCAACATGGCACATGTATACATATGTAAC
The DNA here is from genome assembly GCF_000001405.40 of Homo sapiens. Classification (NCBI taxonomy): domain Eukaryota; kingdom Metazoa; phylum Chordata; class Mammalia; order Primates; family Hominidae; genus Homo; species Homo sapiens. The sequence goes on from NC_000004.12 coordinate 82,326,642, forward strand.
AAATCTGCATGTTGTGAACATGTACCCTAGAACTTAAAGTATCATTTTAAAAATAAATAAATAAATGCAAACAATACAACATAGCTATTTACATAATATTTACATTGTATTAGGTATTCTAAGTAATCTAGAAATGATCGAATGTATGCAGAAGGATGTGCATAGGTTATGCAAATACTATGCCATTTTATATAAAAGTCTTGAGCATCCTTGGATGTTGATACTCTCAGGGGTTCTGGAACCAAGCCCTCCTCCTTCCATGGATACTGAAAGATGACTGTAATTCATTTAGTCCATCCTGTGCCAATGGTCAGTTCTATTTTCTCACTCCTAACCTTTCTTTATTTGCAACTACCTTGAGGCCACTAGGTTTGAGTAGGAAGCCTACATACACAATCTGTTCTCTACTGCAGGGCAGAATATTTTTTAATCAAGGTAAAATTCACATAAAATCAAATTAACACTTTGTAGTATACATTTCAGTGGCAATTAGTGTATTTACAATGTTGTACACCCATCTCCTCTATCTAGTTACAAGACATTTTTGTCACCCCCAAAAGGAAACCCCATACTCATTAAGCAGCCCCTGACAACCACAAATCTGCTTTCTCTTTCTATGAATTTACCAACTGTGGAAATTTCCTATAAATTGACTTATATGTGATCTTTTGTATTGGACTTCTTTCACTTAGTATGATGTTTTCGAGCTTCATCCATGTTGTAGCACATATCAGTACTTCATTCCTTCTGAAGACTAAAAAAAATTCCATTATTCCAATATCACATATACCACAATTTGCTTACCTCTTCATCAGTTAATAGACATTTGGGTTTTTTCTACCTTTTCGCTATTGTGAATAATGCTGTTATGAATGCTTGTGTACACATTTTTGTTTTTGAATAGAACTTTGTTCATAATTGGAAACACCAGTTTTCAATTCTCTTGTATATGCAACAGAGTGGAATTGCTGGATGATATGGTAATTCTCTGTTTAACTTTTTGAGGAACTGCCAAACTGTTTTCCATAGTGGCTGAACCATTTTAATTCCCACTAGCAATGTAAGAGGGTTCCAATTTCTCCACATTATCTCCAACGCTTGCTATTTTCTTGGTTTTTTGTTTGTTTGTTTGTTTGTTTAGGCAGGAAGGATGGAACCTCAGTGTAGTTCCATTGTACTCCTCATGTGAGCCCACGCTTGGCCTCTTGTCTCCTGTGAGCCCCAAAATCCTAAGCCATGGATGACAGAGGCCAACATCTTCATCACTCTCTCAAATTCAGAGAAGCAGCAGCATCAGTGTGAATTTTCACTGCTTTCCTAGTTTCCTGCACCTGGCCTTACCCTTACTTTCTTTCAAGTTCAGTTTTGCATTTAAAAGTTTGCTTCTTGTTGTTTATCTAGTATTTCTGGGTAGTAATAGTGGCAGGATTATAGAGATACATAATCCACAATATTAATGGATCTATTAAGTTTTTCATTATATGTATAGTCATGTATCACTTAACAACTGGGAGGCATTCTGAGAAACACATCAGTAGGTGATTTCATCATTGGGTGAACATCATAGAGTGCACTTGCACAAACCTAGATGGTATAGCCTACTACACAACTGGGCTATATACTATAGCCTGTTACTCCTAGGCTGCAAACCTGTACAGCATGTTACTGTACTGAATACTCTAGGCAGTTGAAACAAGATGGTATTTGTGTATCTAAATATATGCAAACATAGAAAAGGTACAGGAGAAATGTGGTATTATAATTTTATGGAACCACCATTGTATATGTCCATCATTCACCAAAACGTCATTATGCAGCACATGACTGTATGAAGTGTCTCTTACAGGAAAAGAGGCAACATCAAAATTTGAGAAAACCATGGCAAAAAAAAAAATTAAGATATTTTATTTCACCCTGAAACTGGATGTCTGTTGTTATTAGCCTCAGTAGATAGAGCAAAGCATAAGTTTATTACAGGAAAAGGCATTAAAATGCAAACTGATCCAAGCCATAGAACCTTGGAAAGAAATTGGATAAGAAATTGGAGATGCAATGGTACTTCTAAAAGTAGACATGCAGTATTAGTCCAGAAATAAAAAACTACGTGTAAAGCCTTTAAAAGGAACATGTTACCCATAGATCCCCTTACCTATTTTATACAGCCATGCTGCCTCCTCGCCTTATCCCTGAGAAGGGATAGAAATTTTATTCTCTTGGCCAGGCGCAGTGGCTGATGCCTGTAATCCCAGCACTTTGGGAGGCTAATGTGGGCGGATCACGACGTCAGGAGTTCAAGACCAGCCTGACCAACATGGTGAAACCCTGTCTCTACTAAAAATACAAAAAGTAGCCGGGCGTAGTGGCGCCCGCCTGTAATCCCAGCTACTCAGGAGGCTGAGACAGGACAATAGCTTGAACCTGGGAGGCAGAGGTTGCAGTGAGCTGAGATCACGCCACTGCACTCCAGCCTTGGCTTAGCGACAGAGTGAGACTCCATCTCAAAAAAAGAAAAAAAGAAAAGAAAAGAAAAGAAATTTTATTGTCTAAAGACAACAGAGCAGAGAGGCTCTAAACTCAGATACTAGGTCCAGTTGAGGCCAGAGTGATGAGCATATTAACATCAGATGGCCTAAGTGGAAGTCTGCATCCTGAATATGGTCATCATTCCCCAACCTCTCTCCTACCCAGCTTCACCCCAGCAAGAGATTAAAAAATTCCTCTCTAGAAAAGCTGACTAGTCCAAGGAAAAGGACTTACAGATACCCTCACTGAAATGGCCAGATCCACACTGAATTATTCTACAATGAACCCCACCAAATCACAAGCCTCACTCACTCATACTGTTTCCAGTTATAATTTTAGTAAATCAACAATAAAGATCATGAGATATTTGAGAAAATCCTTTATAATAAAAAAAAATGGGGGAAAGGAGCTCAGACAAAACATATAAGGCAGGAACAAAAGAAAGCTTCATTTTTCAAAAAAAAGTCTTTAATACATTGAGAGAAGTAATGGAAGAAAATGTATTCCTAAAATAAGAACAGAAAGCTCTATGAAAGCTTATTCACAGAAAAAAAGAGCTTTGGAAACTAAAACAATAGTAAAAAAATCAAAATTCAGTATAGAATTATTGTAATATAAAGTTGAGATATTCACTCAGAGAGAAAGACAATAAGAATCAATCTAAGAGATCCAACATATGAATAACAGGAGTTCCAGAAAAAGAAAATGAAGAAATCAGAGTAATACAAGAAAAATTCCTAGAACTAAATAACATGAGTTTCTAGATTCAGTGAACAGAAATCAGGACCACAGGAAAGCCTGTAATCTTGAAATTATAAAACATGAAACAAGAAGAGAGGATTGTGAAGTCTTTCAGAGAGAGAGACAAAAGAAAATTGGCAATTAGAATGCTATCAATTTCTTAATAATAATACTGGAAGCTAAAGAAAAATGGAGGAATGCTTTCAAAGTTCTGAGGGAAAATGATTTCCAAACTAGATTTATATACCCAACCAAATTACCAACTCAATGTAAGGGTAGAATAAAGACATTTCTAGGCATTTATGTTCTCAGAAATATACCTCCCATTTATCCTAAGAAAGTTTTTAGCAGGTATTTTCCACCAACAAGAGTGAATAAATCAAGAAAGACATGAGACAAAAATAGAAAACTCAACACAGCCGGGCGCAGTGGCTCATGCCTGTAATCCCAACACTTTGGGAGGCTGAGGCGGGCGGATCACTTGAGGTCAGAAGTTCAAGACCAGCCTGGCCAACATGGTGAAACCCCATCTGTACCAAAAATATAAAAAATTAGCCGGGTGTGGTGGTGCATGCCTGTAGTCCCAGCTACTCGGGAGGCTGAGGCAGGAGAATCACTTGAACCAGAAGGCGAAAGTTGCAGTGAGCCGAGATCATGCCAGTGCACTTCAGCCTGGGGTGACAGAGTGAGACTCCATCTCAAAAAAAAAAAAAGAAAGAAAAAAAAAGGAAAACTCAACACAAGAGGAGGACATTACCAGGATATTAGCGATGATCCCAAGATTGAAACTCTATAAAAAACCTGCATGGAGCCCAACCAAACCAGACTGCAGCAGGTCAAAAGGCTCTGTTAAGGACTTCTTCAGGATAAAGCAGAAAGATCCAACGCAAGAATGAACAATAGGAGGATGTTTTTTCAGCTCCTTTGGAGAGTTTGAGAATTAAATAATGGTTGATGGATTAAAGACAAATGAAAACATGTTGTTTAATTATAGGTATATTATTACCTATTATTAGCTCTAGAGAAGCAACATAATGACCAAATGAATAATAGGTATATGGCTATTTTGGGCACACTGCCTACGGGGTAGCCCTGCTCTGCAAGGAGCAGTAAAAAAAAAAGTGTATATATATATCTAGAGCTAATTATATATATAATTTTATATATATAAATATACAATAATATATATAAATATATAATTATATATAATTATATATATATATAATTAGCTCTACAAAAACCAAAGAGTTATGCATTAAAGTCAGTTTAATCCATGACTCAGTTAATATTTACAGTTTTGATTAAACAAAAAGAAAGGACAGAAAAGAAGGAAAAGATGTCTGTTTGAGGAAGGGGAATACGGGAGTATGATAAGAGTTAAATCCTCTTTTCCATAGATGAAAACAGAAAAATCAAGAAATATATACACTTTCTAGAAATGCAGAGGAAAACAAACTCCAGGGGAAAAAAATAAACATCTAACTGAGGTACATTTAACAAATATTTATTGAGTGCCCACTATATATCAAACACTGTTCTAGGTCAAGATTTCTTGACCTTAGCACATTTTGGACTCGGTGTTGTGGGGGGCCTGTCCTATGCATTTTAGGATATTTAGCACATCCTTGACTTCTATCCACTAGATGCTAGTAGCACGCTCTCTAGTTGTGAGAATCAAAAATATCTACAGGCCTTGCCAAATGTCTCCTGGAGGGCAAAATCACCCCCAGTTGAGGGCCGTTGATCTAAATAATAGGGATACCGCAACAAACAAAACAGACAAAAAGAACTAAAAGTAGTTACCTCTGAGAAATAGATTCGGGGGTTGTAAGGAGTAGGAAAACAGACTTCTGTGTTTACTCATAAACTTTACAGAATTCTGCATTTTCAAACTATATATGCACATTTCATTAATAAAAAAGAAAGCAAATCATCTAAGAGAATATAAACTCCATTCGTACCTTAGTTAAAAATTTCTACACAAGGCAGTGTAGTCATGCAATTCTGGATTTGAATTCCAACTCCACCACTTACTAGCTATATAACCTTAGGCAAGTAACTTAAACCTTTTTGAGCCTCATTTTCCTCAACACTGTAAAATAGGAATATTCACAAGATTACTATGAGTATTGCATATTAAGATGCAAAAATACATATGTGTGTCATATAGTACTTGCATCTAAAGCACTCAATAAATTAAAACGTCCCGGAAAGTACACCAATTCGCCTTGCTTCCATATGCCAGATTCTTGCAAACAACCAACAGTATCTTGGATATATAAACCTGGGGCTCCCATAACTTATACATTAGAATTGTGAGGCCATGTGGCATACCAGGACCAAGGCCACCTATAGCATACACTGTAACCATGTACATTTGACTTTGCTTGTGGAAAGTGACCATACATATTGAGTAAAGAAACTTATCTGATACATAAAGAATGTTAATTGAAATATGTTACAATTTTACTTCTTATCCAGGTGCAGATAGCAGAAGTCCATGTAAAACAGCAAGCAATGTGGTTGTATCATAGCTATATAAGAAGCAGAAACAGTTACATATAATTTTTTTTTTGAGATGGAGTCTTGTTCTGTTGCCCAGGCTGGAGTGCAATGGTGCAATCTCAGCTCACTCTAACCTCCACCTCCCAGATTCAAGCCATTCTCCTGCCTCAGCCTCCCGAGTAGCTGGGATTACAGGCACGTGCCACCACACCCGGCTAATTTGCGTATTTTTAGTAGAGACAGGGTTTCACCATGTTGGTCAGGCTGGTCTCGAACTTCTCACCTCAGGTGATCCGCCCACCTCAGCCTCCCAAAGTGCTGGACTTACAGGCGTGAGCCACCACGCCTGGCCGTTTTGTTTTGTTTTGTGTTTCTCTGAGACAGTGTCTCACTCTGTTGCCCAGGCTGGAGTGCAGTGGCACAATCTCAACTCACTGCAACCTCTGCCTCCTGGGTTCCAGTGATTCTCATGCCTCCCGAGTAGCTGGGATTACAGGCACGCACCATCACGCCTGGCTAATTTTTGTATTTTTGGTAGAGACGGGGTTTTGCCATGTTGGCTAGGCTGGTCTCAAACTCCTGACCTTAAGTGATTCATTCATCTCGGCCTCTCAAAGTACTGGGATTACAGGTGTGAGCCACTGTGCTCAGCAATCCTTGAATTGTTTTAATAATGTTTTGCATGTTAATGAAAGTAAGCTTATTTAGATTTAGCTGGGTTAAAATATGATGCTTTTTTGTATCACAAAATACTTAACAAGATCTGTATTTCATTATTCATCAAAAAATTGTCACAATTGGCTGGGCACAATGGCTCACACCTGTAATCCCAGCACTTTGGGAGGCTGAGGCACCTGGACCACTTGAGGCCAGGAGTTGGAGACCAGCATGGTCAAATTGTGAACCATCTCCACAAAACCTACAAAACTTAGCCAGGCATGGTGGCTAATTTTTGACACTTGTAGTCCCAGCTACTTGAGAGGCTGAGGGGAGAGGATCCATTGAGCCCAGGAAGTGGAGGTTGCAGTGAGCTGAGATCGTGCCACTGCACTCCAGCCTGGGCGATAGAGTGAGTATTTGTCTTAAAAAAAAAAAAGTGTCACAAGAATAGTGACATAATTTACTCTTATATGGCAGTCTAGATGTCTTGTATTCACTATCTCAGTTAATCTGCATAATCTAGGGTACTATGTGGTATGTACTATGTGTCCAGAATTTATTCCTTCTGGCAGGTTCTTGGTCTCACTGACTTCAAGAATGAAGCCACGGACCCTCACAGTGAGTGTTACAGCTCTTAAAGATGGTGTGTCCGGAGTTTGTTCCTTCAGATGTTCAGATGTGTCCAGAGTTTCTTCCTTCCGGTGGGTTTGTGGTCTCGCTGACTTCAGAAGTGAAGCTGCAGACCTTCTCAGTGAGTGTTACGGCTCTTAAAGGTGGCGTGTCTGGGGTTGTTTGTTCCTCCCAGTGGGTTCTTGGTCTAGCTGACTTCAGGAATGAAGCTGAAGATGCTTGCGGTGAGTGTTACAGCTCATGAAGGTAGTGCGGACCCAAAGAGTGAGCAGCAGCAAGATATATTGTGAAGACAGAAAGAACAAAGCTTCCAGAGCATGGGACGGGACCTGAGTGGGTTGCTGCTGCTGGCTGGAGTGGCCAGCTTTTATTCCCTTATGTGTCCCTGCCCACGTCCTGCTGATTGGTCCATTTTACAAAGCACTGATTGGTCCATTTTACAGAGTGCTGATTGGTCCATTTTACAGAGCACTGATTGGTGCATTTACAAACCTTTAGCTAGACACAGAGCGCTGATTGGTGCATTTTTAGAGTGCTGATTGGTGCATTTACAATCCTTTAGTTAGACAGAAAAGTTCTCCAAGTCCCCACTCAACCCAGGAAGTCCAGCTGGCTTCACCTCTCAATCCCTCCTCTAAACAGGACACCCCAACCACTGTTGGGAATTGGGCGATGACTGCTCTAGCTACTACCTGCTGGATAGGGGCAAAGAAGGGGCCCTGCAGTTGTAATGTCCTCCAGAGGGAAACTCTCTAAGCCAACTAAAGGGTCAGTGGGTTGGTCCAGGGGTCCTCAGTAGAACTTGTTAGTTAAGCTCATTTGGGGTTCCATTTGTAAGACCATCTGTAGCTTGATGGCCTCAATCCTAGAGGAAACAAACTTGACAAGGAGGTTAAAAATACAGGGCCCGAAGGCAAGTAACAGTAAGATGGCTGTCACGGGACCTAGAAAGGGGATAAGCCATGTTACCCAACTCCAGAAGTTGGTATAAGAGTTTGAAAGGCATTGTCTGATTTCAGAAACCTTTTCCTGTAAACGCCAGGAGGCATCTCATACTATCCCTGCCTGGTTAGTGTAAAAGCAACACTCTTCCCCTGAGAAGGTGCAGAGTCCTCCTTTCTCAAGCAGTGAGGAGGTCTAGGCCTCGGTGGTTTTGGAGAGTCACTGCTGTCAAAGAATCTATTTGGGATTGTAGAGTAAGGATAGATTTTGTTATTTCTTGCAAACTGTCTGAGAGGCAGATATAGGTTGAAGTTCCACATAAGAAGAATATGCCTTGGCTGGGTGGACAGAAATTTACCCTGGCTTTTAAAGGAATAGGGTTCACTGTTTTTTCTTTACTTCTCTCTCTTTCTCTCTTTCTTTGACTCTTTTGTCTTTCTCTCTTTCTCTCTGACTTTCTCTCTGACTCCCTCTTTGTCTGTCTCTTCCTCTCTTTCCTTCTTTGACTGTCTATCTCTTCCTCTGTCTCCTCTTTGTCTCTGTTTCTTCCTCTCTCTTTCTATGACTTTCTGTCTCTTCCTTTCTTTCCTTCTCTTTGTCTCTCTGTTTCTTCCTCTCTCTGTCTTTCTATGACTTTCTGTCTCTTCCTCTCTTTCCTTCTCCCTTTGACTCTGTCTCTTCCTCTGTCTCTCTCTTTGACTCCTTGTCTCTGTCTCTTCCTCTCTCTTTCTGTGACTTTCTGTCTCTTTCTCTCTTTCCTTTCTGCTGGTCTTTCCCTGCCTCTGCCAGCCACTTATGCTGCTGTTCTCCCCTCTCCTTCCCCTTTTGATGGCTTTGGCAGCATAAGACTGCCACCTCCTTGGGTTTTTGCACTGCATGCAATAACTCCATGGTTTCCTTGTGATATTTAATGGGGGTTCCCCCAGAGGTTAGGAACTCCCTTTCTTTCCATATCGCAGCATGGACATGTAGGATTAGATAAGCATACTTACTATCTGTAGCAAAGTCTCCCAATTACAACTGAAGAGTTGGGAGAAATACCTGGTTACAGGCTGTCCCAGGATTCCTTGGATGGTAATGGACCTTGAGGACAGCTGTCCAGGACAGGAGATTAACACTGAGAAAGCCACGCCAGTGTCCAAGAGGAAGTCAATTTCCTGGCCCTCAATGGTTAAACATACCTGGGGCTCAGTGAGGGTGATGACATGAGCTGGCGCTTGCCCCAGGCACCCTCAGTCCTGTTGTTGGATCATCTGGTTGGGGGCTTCTGGCCCAGAGAAACTTTGTCCTCTGGGGCAGTGTGCCTTCCAGTGATTGCCTTGGCAAAGTGGACATGGGTGAGGGGGCAGCTTGTTTCTCGTTGGACAATCTTTTTTTAAGGCGGCCTTGCAAACCACACTGGTAACAAGCCCTACTGGGCAATTGGCCTGCTCCACTTTCTGTCCTTTCTGAACCACCAAGGTTTGTTTGTCTGAGGGCCATAACTAAGGTTGTGGCCTTTCTCTGACCTCACTTTTCCTTTTTGGCCTGTTCCTCTTGGTCCCTATTATAGAACACTGAGGTTGCCAGGTTTAATAATGCCTCCAGATTTTGTTCAGGGCCCAGGGCTCGCTTTTGGAGCTTTCTCCTGATATCTGCGGCTGATTGGGTAATAAACTTATCTTTTAGGACCAGTTGACCCTCGAGTGAGTTGGGTTACAGGGGAGTATATTTTCTTAAGGCCTCCCGTAGCCTCTTGAGGAAGGCAGAAGGATTTTCTTCCTTTCCCTGAGTTATGGTGGACATCATTTGAATAATTCATGGGCTTTTTCCTAATTATCCTTAGTCTTTCTAGAACACAGGTCAATAGATGTTTGCAACTCCAGTCCCCATGATCTGAGTTGAGATCCCAGTGGGGATCCATACTGGGGATGGCTTGCTGACCAGTAGGGAATTTGTCCCTTTCTTCAGCTGTCATTCTATCATTTACTTGACTAAGATACCAGGTGTCTCCAAATTCTTGGGTTGCAGCTAAAGCCACATTCTTTTCATTAAAGGTCAGGATTTGATCTAATAGCATGACATCTCTCCAAGTGAGGTCAAAGGCTTTCCCTAGACCCTGTAGGACATCTATGTACTTAACAGGATCATCTTAAAGCTTCCCCAGGTCTACCTTGATCTGCTTTAAATCAGAGAGGGAGAAGGGACATGTACCCAGGTTGGGCCAAATTCCCCTCCCCCTACAGCTTGAAGGAGACACAACCAATAGCCCAGGGGTTTTTGTAGTCCTTTGGAGATTTTTTGCTTGTTTCCTTCTGGGTAGGGGAGATTAAAGGAGACTTACCATTAATAGGAAGGGGAGCTATAGGGAGGCTAGGATATGGGGGTAAGCTGAGAGGTCCTCCTGTGGGATGTAAATTGCAAGCTTTGCGTAGTTGTGGATGCTCCTTCAATGAAAAGAAAGCTTGGACATAAGGTATTTTACTCCATTTGCCTTCCCTCTTACAGAAAAGGTCAAGCTGCAGGATAGTATTGTAATTTATACTTCCCTCAGGTGGCATTTTTCCCCATCAGAGAGAATACTGGGGCCAAGCCATAGTGCAGAAAAAAATGAGCCACCTCTTTTTCAGAGTTTGCAGGTCAAATTGGTCCCAATGGCTTAGGATGCATTTCAAGGGTGAGCCTGTTGGTTCCTGAGTGTTTCCCATCTGAAAGAAAAAACCACCCACAGTTTTGGTTTGTTTCCACCTCCGCCCAAGAACCCGCAATGGTCCCTGGACCCTGCTAATCAGAATAGTTGCGCTCACCGACACAGCAGCAGAAGCACCAGTTTTCCTCCTAGACCACAAGGAGGACCGAGGAAGGTTGGATTTAGTGGCCCTTAGCAACACATTCTCAAAAATGTGCACCTTGCCTGTCCTCCTAGACCACAGAGGACCAAGAAAAATCGGATTTAATGGCCCTTACCAATGCATTCTCGAAAACCTGCACTCTTGCCTGTCCTCCTAGACCACAAAGAGGACTGAGAAAAATCGGATTTAGTGGCCCTTACCGATGCATTCTCGAAAACCTGTTAGAGTCCTAAGCATTCTCCTGTTAGTATTGGGACTTTACCCCTGTCCTATAAAGATGTTATGCCCCAAAAATGAAGGGGAGGGCCATACCCTGAGGGAGGGAAGGGATCTTCAAGGTTGGAAATGTGACACCTTTTGTCCTCACTTGAATAGGAAGGATATCATTTCTGAAGCTCCCCATATCCTAGCTTCAAGAATAGCTTTTGTTAGGCCTGCTAGTCTGAGGAGGGATCCTAAAATTCCAGATGGTCCCACCCCCCAGATGGGGCTTTGGGCAAAAATTATGTCTTTCTGATTGGTGAGCCCGGGTGCCTAAAGAAGGGAACAAAGTCCTGAGGTTTATACTAGAAATCATTATTATAGGAGAAACTAGAAAAGCACCAGAGACAGGGAGTGGTTTTTAGAAGTGGGACTAGCCTCAAAGAAGAGAGGCAAGAGGAAGTTTGTCTGACAGGCATTAGGATCCAGGAGGCAAGGGTCAGGATAGATAGGATAGATGGGTGAGTCTCGCTTGGGCAACATGACTTTGAGAGTTCCACTTATGGCCGCAGGGTCAACCAACTTGTTGTCGGGACCCTGGAGCTGAATGGCTTCCCTCTCTGTCAACCCTTGGCTCAGCCCAGAAGTACAGGAAAAGCGGAAGCTGGTTCCAGGCAAACCAACACTCCCAACTCCGAAGAGTCGGGGATTGTTAGAGAGCCCTTTCCCAGAAAGCCTGACACCCGTGTCTTTAGTCCGGTGGCTGCACTAGTCGCTTTTAACTGGCCAACAGGTGCCTGGTATTTAGCCTCCAAATTCTAAGGAAAAATAGGACAGAATAGCAAGCGAAAGGGGTCCAATAGCACTCACCACTTGGTGACAGTCCCAGCTGGTTTGCCAAAATGCGTCCGGAATTTATTCCTTCTGGTGGGCTCTTGATCTCGCTGACTTCAAGAATGAAGCCGCAGACCATTGTGGTGAGTGTTACAGCTCTTAAAGATGGTGTGTCCAGAGTTTGTTCCTTCAGATGTTCAGATGTGTCTGGAGTTTCTTCCTTCCCGTGGGTTCATGGTCTCACTGACTTCAGGAGTGAAGCCGCAGACCTTCACAGTGAGTGTTACAGCTCTTAAAGGTGGCATGTCGGAGTTGTTTTTTCCTCCCGGTGGGTTCTTGGTCTCACTTCAGGAATGAAGCCTCAGACCCTCGAGGTGAATGCTGGAGCTCATAAAGGTAGTGCAGACCCAAAGAGTGAGCAGCAGCAAGATTTATTGTGAAAAGTGAAAGAACAAAGCTTCTACAGCATGGGAGGGGACCCAAGAGGGTTGCTGCTGCTGGCTGGAGTGGCCAGCTTTTATTCCTTTATTTGCCCCTGCCCATGTCCTGCTGATTGGTCCATTTTACAGAGCGCTGATTGATCCATTTTACAGAGTGCTGATTGGTGCATTTACAAACCTTTAGCTAGACAGAGAGCGCTGATTGGTGCATTTTTACAGAGTGCTGATTGGTGCATTTACAATCCTTTAGCTAGACACAGAGTGCTGATAGGTGCATTTACAATCCTTTAGCTAGACAGAAAAGTTCTCCAAGTCCCCACTCAACCCAGGAAGTCCAGCTGGCTTCACCTCTCACTATTATCACAATTTTATAGATTTATGTATTCATTCATTCAACAAACACTTATTGAACATCTGCTGTCCGTCATGCACTGTTCCATGCTGGGACTACAGCAGTAAATGAAACACAAGAATCCTTGCCTCCATGGAGCTTATATTCTAGACAAACAATAAATAAAATTTACCTAATGTTAGTTAAGAGGTAAGTACTGTGGAGAAGAACTAAGTATTGAAGGAGAATAGGGTTTTCAGAATAGAAATGGAGGTAGCAATTATTGTAAGAGATGATAGCATTTAAGTAAAATCATACAGGAAGATGAGGAAATTGAGGCTAAAAGAATTATAACTTGTTCAAGGTCACAGAGCTAATAAGGCTAATAAAATTACAGCTGAACACAACAAGGCAGCTGCCTGGAACCTTGATGCATCACTTTATAAAAATCTGTTGAATCCTATTAAGAGGTTTTAGGATTCGTCAAAATAAAGCTACATCTGTTCTTTCAGATAGCTCTGAGAAGTATTAGAGTGTGCACATTAATCCAGAAATGGAAGTAAAACATGACATTTGTATTTATTTTTATTTCAGGCCAAAGAATTCCAAAAAACAAGAAAGATTCCTAGGAGGATTTGGTAGAAATACTTCAAAAAGATCATAATTATCACCATTGCAATCCTCCTTTCAATTATTATCATTCTTTTAAGTACAAATGTAATACCAACATGACCCTTTTTCTTCCCATCCTCAACAGACACCAGTAAATGGCTATACATAATTAGAGATTTCTACAACCAACAGTTATGAAATCATTCTGTAGTGGTAATAAGATTGGAGGAAAAGGAGGTTGGAAGTATTTCCTTGTCCCTTAACTCTTGTCACTGTACCTCTCCCATTTCTGTAATGTCGACAGGCTACTTAACCTGTGCACCTTTTCCTCATCTGTAAAATGGGGCTGTTAGTAATATTTAATGAATAGAGTTATGTCTCCCACATAGTAAATGCTATTTACATGTTAACTCTTACTTAATAGGAAAAGATAATTGCAATTGTGGCATTGATTAAATTATTGTAATCTTCCTGCTTAGCCAGAAGTGAAATGACTTTGACCTTAAAATCAGATTTTAGAAATGAGAATTTTAACATCAGTACAGTTCAGAGATACACATTCACCTCTTCTACAGTTTTTTCATTTGAAATGAAAATTCAAACTATCATGTTTTATACTATGTATTTCCTTGTGTAAGGATTAAAAAATTAGTAAGTCATATCATTTTCTCTAACAAATCATAGAGAGAGGACATAGGTCCTCTCCTCCTATCTCACCATCCTAACAGCCTTTAAAAAAATACACTTCCTCCAGTAACCTCAACTTATTAAGATTTCAAATAACTAAAGCATCCAACTTTACTTTGCAGTTAGTAACAAGGCGTCATGGGTTCTGTTTCCCAAGTGGGAAACTGAGGTCTGAAGTCTGTTTTATAAGTCCCTTAGTGATTCCTGAGGAACAGACATCCTGACTTCAGGATAACTCATTTTAATTCTGGTAATGATCAAATACCAGCATTTTAAATAGCCACCAAGCTCATTATTCCTCCAATGCAATACCACCTTTCCATTCACAAAATATTTTTTAAAGGATCTTAAATGTTAGAAACTTTGGAGTTTCTGTAGTTCAGACTCAGGAAAAAATAGGCGATATGTTGACTGCTTACTCTGATACAATGTACTAAGTATCTTGGAAGAGGGGTGTCTCATTTAATTTTACAATAATACTATTAAGCGAGTATCACATAAAGCACACAGAACAGTGGCTGGCATAAAAGTGCTGTGTAAGTTAGTTCATATTATCAGCTTTATTTTGCAGATGAGAAAATAGCAAAGTTAAATGGCATGTTCAAGGTCACACAGCTGGAAAGCTAAGATTTTACTGACTGCTAAGATAAGCCCTACTGTGGCATATAGCCATGGAACCCATAGAGTAATAATTAAGATCCCTTAATTATGGGTCAGACAAGATACATCGTATTATTTCACTTCTTGTCAGTTTAGTAGGTTGTTTTGGCAGGGTAGAGACAAGAGTAGTTGGAAGAGGAATAGTCATGTATTTTGCTGCTGTTATTTTCGAAGCCCTATAAAACTTGCCCCTTAACATCTCTGTAAAGTAAAATTATGTATAAAACATATTTGTATCCTGATCACCAGTTAGTAGCATAATTATTGCTAGAGAACTGTGAACTTAAAGATCACCTAATCTAACCTCTTGCACTTTACATGTTAGGATATCAAGACCAAAAGTCTAAGTGAATTATGTGTCTTTGAGATTTTCTCTTCACTGGTAGCATGCTTAAAGCACAGGCTATCACCCTGGTTCCAAGCAAGAAGTCCTACATAATACTTGTTTTCTAAGGCAGTCTTTAGAGTTTAAGAGTTTTCAAGATAATTTATATTTTTATGGGCTGTCGAATGCTGCCTAGTAAGGATTGTTTCCCTGGTATTTATGCTAGAACTGTCAGAACATAGCTTGGCAGAAACAAATATTAAGTGATCTTGGATTTTTCATCTATTTATGCTTTCAAATAGTATTGAGCTCCTACTCTGCACCAAAACAATTCTAAAACATTATGGTTTATCCTAAGCTACTACATAGATAGAAATAACTGATGTTTGAAAAAATAGAATGATGTTTGTATATAGACATGTAAGACCTGGTCAGGCTCAGTGGCTCACACCTGTAATCCCAGCACTTTGGGAGGCCGAGGCAGGCAGATCACCTGAGGTCAGGAGTTCAAGACCAGCCTGGCCAACATGGAAAACCCTGTCTCTACTGAAAATACAAAATAAAAATTAGCTGGGCGTGGTGGCAGACACCTGTATTCCCAGCTACTCGGGAGGCTGAGGCAGGAAGAATTACTTGAACCTGGGAGGCGGAGGTTGCAGTGAGCTGAGATTGCGCCACTACACTCCAGCCTGGGCAACAGAGTGAGACTCCATCTCAAAAAATAAAAATAAAAAACCCTAAGGCCTATCTCTAATCCTTTAGGAAAGCTTACATTCCAGTTGAAGGAAGAAGTCCAACAAATATCATAAACAGGTTAAAGCAACAGCATCAATATTTAAGTGGTACATTGCATGGCAGAGAATAAGTTAAGAGATGATGATCAACACAGGCTCAAATCACTGAGGAAGATTCCATTGGTTGTAAGTGGGATAGGAATTGGATCTTATTAGAAATCGAATTTATTTCTACCATGAAGTGTCATAAATCGAATTTATATCAATAGGTAAAGGCAGTGCAGTTAACAATAACAATTAACTTATTGAGCACTTGTGTTCCAGTAACTGTTGTAAGTACTTTAGAAATCCTTCTTTAATTCTCACAACCCTGATGTAGGCACTACTGTTATTTCCATTTTACACATGAGAAAACAGAAGCATAAATGCCCAAGTCTACTGCACTAGTAAGAGGAACAGCTTGCTGTGGGGGTGCACAAGGTGGACTATGCATTGGTGGTGTTCAATTATGTTATCTTTCAGTCATTCAAGTGGCCTGCAGCAGAACTCTGTCTTGGGTTCTCTTCATTTCCCACTCTGCAACGTGCTCTTATTCACTCCCATGCTGTTGCTCTCTCCAGATCTAACCCCTCTTCTGAATTCCAAATCATTTCCCAATTCTCTACTAGATATACCCACTTGGATACCACGCAAACACTTAAGTTTAGATCCCCAAACTATACATTCTTCCATTCCCCCACAAAACCTGCTTATTTGACTTGATTTCCAATCTCAATAAATGGGATCACAGCTATCCTGTAATCTACAAACTCTTAGCCTACCTTGACTCCTCCCTTCTGCTCATCTTCTCTTTCCTAATTAGTCACCAAAATCATAGGGCTTCTGTGTCAAATCTCCTGAAGGTTCATCAGCCAAGGAAGTCCAGAAGAGCTGCAGAAGCAAAAGTAGGGAGTTCCCTGAGGGTGCCGAGGCAAACTTCGAGAAAGGGTACTCCTTCTATCATGGTTGATGGCTGTCTCTACTCCCGAGCCTGGCCACATCACACTCCTCTTTGTATTCAGTATGCCCAGCACATGTAAGTATTAACATTTGGTATTTTCAGATGCATGATTTCCATAGCTCTTAAACATGGTTAATATCAACAAATGTGAAGCTTTGGTTTTCAATTCTCAGCATCAGAGTCACCTAATGATCTTAATAATACATGTTCCTCGGCTCCACCCCTGAGGATTCTGCATAAGCCTGGGATGGGGCCTCAAAATGTTTGTTTAACCTCACAATGAGGCCGAGAACTGCTAACCTCAAGCACTTTTACATGACTATCATTTAATGTCCATTCCTAAGAAAGGTAATATAATTTTACACTTGGAAAAACTGAGGCTTGGAGATGGTTAATTTACCCAATATCACTGGGCAAATGACAGAGCTGGGCCACAAAAGCATTCATTTGAAATAATCTATTCCACTGAATGTATTAAACTAGAAACTTTTAAAAATCTGCTAAATAGAATGCCCCACATATTTTAATAAGTCTAAAAAGGATTATTTTAAGTTGTTTTGAAAGTTTATATTATCCCACTATAGGATCAAGGCCTCTCAGAGAATCTCACAGAATCATGGCAGAACCTAGAATAACAAAAACCATTAAATTCTGGCCTCTGATTTATTTATGTATTTATTTTTACGAAGTCTCACTCTTTTCCCTCAGGCTGGAGTGCGATGGCGCGATTTTGGCTCACTGCAACCTCCGCCTCCCGGGTTCAAGTGATTCTCCTGCCTTGGCCCCCCAAGTAACTGGGATTACCGGCACCTGCCACCACGCCCAGCTAATTTTTTTTTTTTTTTTTTTTTTTTTCAGTTGAGATGGGGTTTCACCATGTTGGCCAGGCTGGTCTAGAACTCCTGACCTCAGGTGATCCACCCACCTCAGCCTCCCAAAGTGCTGGGATTACAGGCGTGAGCCACCGTGCCCGGCCGGCCTCCGATTTTTTAGAACAAAAAGGCAAATCACAAGCTGGTTACAGACAAAGAGGTCGTTTGTTGAGGAGCAGACCTGCTTAGCACCACATCATGACCCAACATAATGGTGACTTCTCTCTTAACAGACCAGCACTAAGTGACCCGCATTCCTTTAACAGTTCTTGAGACATAAAAGTAAAAGTGGAATAGTGAAATAATAGTGCATTTATAATGAGTACTTTTGCTAACATTATTGCTCTTAGCCATCAAATTCAATTTACCATTTTCCAAAAATGTTGTAACATAAAATGGTAAATGCCTACCAGCACTTGTAGTGGTCTCACATTTGATAGCAAGCCCAGCAGATTACAAAGATTGAACATCCCCAAAAAATCTTCCTGCCCTCAATACCCTGCCTCATAAACATTCCGAAGAAAGCTGGAAATTGCTCCTTAGCATAAGCTAACTTTCCAAACAATCCCATCATTTAAAAATTTTATGTGATGTGTTAACATTCCAGTAGTTGCCTTACCTTTTCAACTAATAAGTTCTATGTTAAAGGTATTCATTCAAGAGAAAAAAGCTTAAGTCAAAAAAAACAGACAGTGCAAAAAATGCATGAGTGCTGTAAGAGTTTAATTGTAAGACAAAAGCACTGCTACATTATACTTTAAACATAAGTCATCTTTCAGAAGGAAGGATTCAGTGCAAATTAAAACCCTATGAAAGCCCAACTGTAAATTTCATATGAAGACTCTAGAAGTAAACTTCTAGAACTGGAAACACTTGGTTCCAACAGAATTTGCTTGGGGAGAATATGTCTTGAAAATGTTAAATGGTACAGAGAACATCATGTTTAAGTCAACCAGATACTAAAAAAAAGACATGCTGATAGGTCTTAATACATAAAACTAATTGATTAGCAGTAGCATGCTTTATATATCAATGATTATAAAAGCAATTTACAATAAATTTGAGCATTTCTAAGTTTTATTTACTGCCTTAGCCAATCTCTTAACTATACTGTAATAAAATGCCATTCTTCCAATTTTTATTTTATAATAAAAAGGTTTTCACTTCATCAGTCTCAGACTGGTGTTTTATATAAATGTTAAGCTCTGTATAATCCAAAGCCATCCATACAACAAAAAAGAAATTATGTAATTCCTTTTCTCAAGTGTTTATTCAAAGCATAGCTTCCATGCCATGTTAAATGTCACGTTTAGGTACTGGCATTAACAGACCTCTTAAGTTTCTTCCAATTCTTTTTTTCCTGAGAAATACAAAAGTCAGGAAAGTAACCTTCCTAATTCTAGAGTGCAAACAGAGTACAGCCTCTTATAACAAAATTAAATTTATACAAATTAACCTTGAAGTACTCTCTTCCCAATACCAAATGACTTAAAGTTTCCCAAAATAGATTCCAATAACCTCTATTATCACTGTTTAATAAATTAATGCCTATCTCTAATTTCTTTGAAGACTTTTAAAGAATTTCTCCCTTAACAACTAAAATAACAGATTTGGATTGCTATTACAAGAACACCATGCTCCTACTTAGGCTCTAAATCCTATAAAGCATTTCAGACTTTAATACAATAATTTTGTAAGGTCCTTTCTCCTTGCCCTTGGGAGAACACCTGCCCCCTACCCCCCACCCCCCGCTCCAATTCCCTGCCTTTACAGGGCTTACTGGGGGAAATTTATTAACATTTAGGAACTACCCTACTGCTTCAACTTCCTATATTATATAGTCAGTCCCCTGGAGACTATTCTTTATCTCAGCTACTCTATACTACTGCCATTTACATGGAAGGCTGCTGGAATTATGCAACCTTCTTGAGAATCGAAAAGGCGCTAAGGACAATAGGGCAATATATAACCAGCCCAATTAGAGAAAATAGCAAGTCAATTTCTATCAGAGTTGTTGATTACCAATTCATAATAATGCAATGGATGGCTAAGATCAGGGCAGAGGCAAGATACAGACAATAAGGGGAGTGTATTGGCTGTAGAGAATTTTAAAACAATACCAAGCAACTCACCATGTTCCCAGCCTGTAGCCACCCCCACCACCTACTTTCCCTGACTTGGTACATTACTGTTGTTCACTGTCATCTTGTACTCATTAGAATGTTAAAAATCATATCATTTTTTTTTTCAAGGTAGACTTAGGGTCCACAACTAAAATGCTGGTTTAGTAAAACATATACCTTTGTTTTTACAGAAGATGTAAAAACAAACCCTTAGGAAACAGTGTGTTTAACTCTATCTTAAAGAGTTAACACATTAAAGTCCTTAACACATTAGTATGCAATTAAGATCACTTGGAGGCCAGGGGCGGTGACTCACGCCTGTAATCCCAGCACACAGGGAGGCCGAGGCAGGCGGATCACCTGAGGTCAGGAGTTCAAGACCAGCCTGGCCAACATGGTGAAACCCTGTCTCTACTAAAAATACAAAAATTAGCCAGGCATGGTGGTAGGAGCCTGTAATCCCAACTACTTGGGAGGCTGAGGCAGGAGAATCACTTGAACCCGGGAGGCAGAGATTGCAGTGAGCTGAGATCGTGCCACTGCACTCCAGTGTGGGCAACAGAGTGAGACTCCGTCTCAAAAAAAAAAAAAAAAAAAAAAAAAATCACATGGTGTATGTGAAATACAGAATCCCAGGCAACACTCCCAAACAATTCTAAGTGATTCTGATATAGATGCCTACAAGCCTCTTTGAAATGCCAACCAGCTTATAATCAACCCTTACCCAATTTACCAGATTAAAAGCAACTGTTACCAACTAACAGGACAAGCGGACTCCATTTGCACAACTGAATATTTATCTTGCTAGAATCATTTTACCCATGGAAATTTTCAGGCGACTCCTAACTATGCCTAGTAACAGTTTGAATATGGCTAGTATTAAAGAAAGGATATACCCTTCTCAACCCTATCAAAAGTAGGTATCTTAGGCTGGGCACAGTGGCTCACGCCTGTAATCCCAGCACTTCAGGAGGCCGAGGCAGGCAGATCACTTGAGCACAGGAGTTGGAGACCAGCCTGAGCAACACAGTAAGACCCCATCTCTACAAAAAATTTCAAAAATTAGGCCGGGTGCAATTGCTCACACCTGTAATCCCAGCACTTTGGGAGGCTGAGGTGGACGGATCACCTGAGCTCAGGAGTTTGAGACCAGGCTGGTCATATGGTGAAACCCCGTCTCTACTAAAAATACAAAAGTTAGCCAGGTGTGGTGGTGTGTACCTGTAATCCCAGCTACTCGGGAGGCTGCGGGAGAATAGCTTGAACCTGGGAGGCAAAGGTTGCAGTAAGCCAAAATTGCGCCACTGCACTCCAGCCTGAGAGACAGAGCCGAGACTCCGTCTCAAAAAATAAAAATGAAAAAAAAAAATAAATAAACTGGGCCGGGCGAGGTGGCTCACACAATCCCAGCACTTTGGGAGATTGAGGCGGGCAGATCACCAGGTCAGGAGTTCAAGATCAGCCTGACCAATCCAGTGAAACCCCGTCTCTACTAAAAATACAAAAATCAGCCGGATGTGGTGGCGTGCACCTGTAGTCCCAGCTACTCAGGAGGCTGAGGCAGGAGAATCACTTGAACCCGGGAGGCGGAGGTTTTGATGAGCCAAGATCACACCACTGCACTCCAGCCTGGACAATAAAGTGAGATTCAGTCTCAAAAAAAAAAAAGAAAAAAAAAGTATATATATATATATATATATATATAAGCTGGATGTGGTGGTGCTTGCCTGCAGTCCCAGCAACTCAGGAGGCTGAGGTGAGAGGATCGCTTGAGCCCAGGTTGAGGCTGAGGTGAGCTGTGATCACATCACTGCATTCCAGCTTGGGCGACAGAGCAAGACCCTTTCTCCACCCCCCCCCCCACCAAAAAAAAAAAGGAAAGGTAGCTTTCAAAAAAAATCAAATTTTATGATAGTTTAGGGTCATCCTTAAATGTTAGTTCATTGATAAACTGCACTATTAAGAAACTGCTTCCAAATAAATTTATTGAGATGTGATGCTATATTATGGATCTAGGTTTTGACATTTCAGGTTAAACTCACTCCAAACAAAATAAACTCAGACATTTCAGGATCAACACAAATACTGTGATAGAAAGATTGTATCTTTCCAGTTTCCAAAATTCCTAATACCTCAAAGGCCCTAAACATACGTTTAAAGTACTAGTCTTAATTACAAAAAGAAACTTTCCCAAGCACTAAAATAGTAAAAGCAGAGACTAAATTAGTTTCTCATGTATACAACAGACAGGCTTAATAACTGGATTCTAATGAGACTACCTTTCAAAACTGTCAGCATGAACTGGCACCTGGACAGGTGTTCCACACCCACACTGTATTCTCAACTGTGCACAACCAAGTACAAAGAAGCAAATACTATCCCAGGATGTAAAGAGTATTATGCTTACATGACTTGCAACCCTATACACATCGAAGGTTAGGAAAGAAACAGACAAAAAAGGAAACCCAGGACCCAAGGAAGAGAAATTAACTCACCTGGTAGCAGACACCTACTAAACCAAAAGGTATCAAAATCTGATTCAGAACAACAGACCTAGAAAGCTCATTACTTGAGAAAAAGTGGGATTCCAACCAGAGTCTACAAAACCGTTTTGAGAATTGAGATCAAAGCTACATGACACTACCCATTAGTAAACACAGGTTAATTTGATAATAAACCAGCAAACTACTTGTAAATTTCACTTTGTTGGTCAAATTCTAGAAGCAGGGGTACCGAGCTCCCTGTTAATATTGATTTACCTGTCCTTTTTTGTTCTCCTAAACCTTACACCAATCACCCACCTACACAAAAAAGCTACAAAAAATAATCTGTGTCATGCCCAGTCTCTTCTGAAGTCACACTAAAAACGAGTTATCTAAAAAAACTGGGGAATGGGGGGGATAATATTTCAGGAGTTCGAGACCAGCCTGGCCAACATGGTGAAACCCCATCTCTACTAAAAATACAAAAATTAGCCAGGCCTGGTGGCGCATCCCTCTAGTCCCAGCTACTTGGGAAGCTGAGGCAGGAGAATCGCTTGAACCCAGGAGGTGGGGGTTGCAGGGAGCCAAGACCGTGCCACTGCCCTCTAGTCTGGGCAACAGAGTGAGGCTCTGTCTCAAAAAAAAAAAAAAAAAAAAAAAAAAAAAAAAAAAGAAAGAAGGAAGGAAAAAAACAATATTCTGCCAGCTGTCAGCAGTGTGGATATCACAGATTACACCACAGAACACCCTGACTCCCCGCAAAGATTTAGGAATTGGCAGTCCAAATACCTGTAGAAACATAGATGAAACAGGTCAAAAGATCGATTCAAAGTCGCTTAACAATTAGTTAAACCTCCAGATCCTCTATACTGCTGGCAATTGACTCCTGAACCCTGGCAGAAAACTGGAGATGTACTCTCTTAAGCAAGTTAGAAAAGAGCTGTTGGACTGAATAGGCACAGTGATGAAAATAAACAGTTTACTTTTTGAGATCCCTCAACTTCTTTTTCCACTGGGATCAGAAACTGACCACCTTTTCTTATCCTTTAGGGAGGAGAGTAAGACACCTCTGGTAAGCATGACCAGCTTCAGAAAACAAAACAAGGAAATGTATCAAGTGATTTCTCAATAAAATGACACAGCCATACCACCCAACAGTGAAGCCAGTGATTGAAAAGCACCCTGCCAGACCCACACACATAACATTCAATTAGCATTTAAAATGTTCCACTCCTAAATATGACCCAAGGATCACCAAACACCTGAAGAAATTTTCTAACATGAAAACCAGAAGCCAAAGCAACAGGAAAACAAAGCATCTTGGAAACAAACTTTTAAACAGGTTATCATTAATAACCTTAGAGATAAGAAAAAGGTATGTTGATATTTATTTATAACAGATGAGGGGGTGGTCTTAGAAACTGACACAATTGGCCAGGCGCGGTGGCTCCCGCCTGTAATCCCTGCACTTTGGGAGGCTGAGGCGGACAGACCACCTGAGGTCAGGAGGTGGAGACCAGCCTGGCCAAGATGGTGAAACCTGTCTCTACTAAAAATACAAAAATAAGCCGGGCATGGTGGTGTGTACCTGTAGTCCCAGCTACCTGGGAGGCTGAGGCAGGAGAATCGCTTGAACCCAGGAGGCAGAGGTTGCAGCGAGCCGAGATAGTGCCACTGCACTCCAGCCTGGGCGACGAGAGAACTCCACCCCACACACACACCCACACCCAAAAAAGAAACTAACACAACTTAAATTTTGGGATGTTTTTAAAAGTTGACAATTAGGCAAGGTGCAGTGGCACATGCCTGTAACTCCAGCACTTTGGGAAGCCAAGAGTTCAAGACCAGCCTGGGAAACATAGCAAGACCTGGTATCTACAAAAATTGAGAAAGATTAAATTAACAGAAACACATGTCCAGGGCTTATACCCAAACAAGAATTCCAGAGAACAAAGATCGAGATGGTAGATGGGGAAAGAAGAATCAGTTCAGTAATATTTCCCGTATCTGAAGAGCAAGTTTATACAATGACAAGATTCAGTGAGTGACCAGTACAATGTATTAAATAAACCCAAGATACAGTTGTGAACCATAAGAACAATGGTAAAATTCCAAGTGATTTCAGCGTTAAGAAAGATTCCATATGTAAGACCAAGATTTAAAATAAATTTCTGGGTCAAAGAACAGTGTAGCACACACCTGTAATCCCAGCACTTTGGGAGGCCAAGTCAGGTGGATCACCTGAGGTCAGGAGTTCAGGACCAGCCTAACATGGTGAAACCCCATTATCTACTAAAAAAAAAAAAAAAAAAATTAGCCGAGCCTGGTGGCACACACCTGTAATCCCAGCTGCTCAGGCGGCTGAGGCAGAAGAATTGCTTGAATCTAGGAGGCGGAGGTTGCCGTGAGCCGATATGCCACTGCACTACAGCCTGGGCAACAAAAGCAAAACTCCGTCTCAAAAATAAAAAAAATAAATAAATTTCTGGCCAGGCATGGTGGCTCACACCTGTAATCCCAGCACTTTGGGAGGCCGAGGCGGACGGATCACAGCATCAAGAGATTGAGACCATCCTGGCCAACATGGTGAAACTCCGTCTCTACTAAAAATACAAAAACTAGCTGGGCATGGTGGCACAGGCCTGTAGTCCCAGCTGCTAAGGAGGCTGAGGCAGGAGAATCGCTTGAACCCACGAGGCAGAGGTTGCAGTGAGCTGAGATCGCACCACTGCACTCCAGCCTGGCAACAGAGTGAGATGCTGTCTCAAAAACAAATAAAATAAATTTCTTCACCAAACCTGAATTCTCTACATAGCTAAACTTAGTAATCCAATGCAAAATAGAACTTTACAGACAGGAAGGTCTCTAACCTATTGGAAGATATCCTACACCAAACCAACAAAGCCATAGATCTAGGAAACAGATCATAAATTGAGAGGCAAAGGGAAACCCAGAACAATGGCAAAGCCCCAACTCAACAGTTACTCAACAATTCAAAAAGGGCAAACAGTTCAGATTAGAACACAGAAAACCATCAAGAAAAACATGAAACTAATTACCAAATTAATGTATATAAAAAATCTTTTTTCAATTCTTGTTACCGTTTGAAAATCAGTGTCTGCTGGACAGAAAATTATCTAGGCCAAGAGGTACTGCTAGAAACGGCTCTGAGAATTGCAATTTAAATGAGTCAGACATACAGAAACAAAACAGTACAAAAATCGGGTTACAAGTTTTTTTCAAGAATGGGTTTGATCTCCAAAATTAATCCTTAAAATTAAATCTAAGTAGTGTCTCTCATTTAGTACTAATTAACTGCCAAAAGTGCAGCTTGTAAACATTTTAACACAACAATCAAAATTAATCTGGTAGCATGTTTTTAGTCACACTAAACCTGGTTTTAATTCAATCTGTTTTTACCCCCTCCCCGCACATTTATAAAGTTTTTGATGTGAAGGCCGAACACGGTGGTTTATGCCTATAATCCCAGCACTTTGGGAGGCCGAAGGAGGAGGAGGATTGCTTGAGGCCAAGAGTTCAAGACCAGCCTGGGGAACATAGCAAGACCCTGTCTCTACAAACAATAAAAATATTAGTTGGGCACAGTGGTATGCGCCTGTAGTCCCAATCACTGAGGAGGCTAATGAGGAGCACTTGAGCCCAGGAGTTGGAGGCTGCAGTGAGCCACTGTACTCTAGCATGAACGACAGAGGGAGACCCTGTCTCTTAAAAATAATTTTTTATTGAGAGATTTACATAAAATAAGCATATGATACCAAAAAGAACCCTAGCTTAACAACCCTAACACAAAAAATTTTCATTTATTTTGACCATGAGTCAGCAAACTTTTCTGTAAAGGGCCAGACTGTAAATTATTTTGCTTTGCAGGTCTCTGTCCTAACTACTAAACTCTACCACTGTAACACAAAAGCAGCCATATACAAAACATAAACAAATGAGCATAGCTGGGTTGCAATCTTATAAAAACAGGACACAGGTCCTCAATTTGGATCTATCATAAAAAAACTTTAATAACACTAACTTTTGCTCATTAAAATGTTTGCTTAGTTGGAGGTCAAATTCTTAGCATCAGATGTAACTCCACAAAAGTAAGAAAGGTATTCCATCACTTCACTACTATAGAACTGTATAATAATACATTTCTCATTTGTTACCTTTCTAATGAACTATTCTGAGCAGTCTGAAGTAACTGACTGCACAGCCTTAGATTACCACTCAGGGTGGAACTCTTAACATTCACTTAAGTAATACCTACAAACGATTTTCCATTCAAGTTGATGGGTATCAATTCCCTGAATGCTAATAACAGAACTCAAGAAGCTTCCAACAAATGACAGGAAAAACAATTCTGACTTAATCCTATAGTTATCACTTAGACTCTTCAGTTTCACTTTCTTAAGAGTGACTCAAAAAGTTCCTTAGGCACACATACTAATAATCACAGTCCTGAAATTTTAAGGCCCTAACCAAAAAAATAAAACCTTTGAGAAATGGAAAATAAAATCATTCAAACAAATAAGCACACACACATAAACACGGTATATATTTCTTTAATCCTCCCTCAACACTTGAATTCATCTATGAAGTCCACCACAGCTCTAAAAATCTCTCTGAACTAGCCGCATTTCTATTATAATTAACAGATTTTAAGTCCTTTTTATTTAATGGAAGCATAAAACATTAACTATCTGTGCAAAGGGGTACTTTTGCACATTTATCCAGATTTGTTCTAAAAAGCACAATACATATTAAGCAAAAACTGGGCATTTGGGAAAATATTCATATAAATCTTAATGGCTACATAAGGAAGTATTATTAAAACAACCAACAAACAAATTGACATTAAGTCATTCCCAATTTGGACAGGGAGGACACATTATGGCAAAAATTAGATTTTGCTAAAAACATTTCAAACTTCACTGCAATTTTAATCATGTCCTCAATTTCGGCAAGCCTGTCTTCCAAACTTATGCTTTTAATAACTTGAATCCATGACAATTTTTCCTATTCTGATGATAAAAGAGCCAATACATTTTTATACAAAAGGATTTATTAAAAAACCAGTAAGACACTACTACATCATGACACTGTCACACTGGGCTTTTAACACAAGACTTGCTCTACAATACTGGGGGAAAGGGCATAAAACACAAATTGATTCTGAAGCATAGCAATTAAGAAATAAAACAATGAAAGCAAATTTCTTTTAATGAGAACTCAGAATTAAACTTCAGAGGGACCCAACGTCATACTTCCATTCAGGGACTTGATACAAAAAATTTAGTTTGAACTGCTATTAGCAGGTGGCAGGAGCCACCTTCAAATGAATCTTCAAATTGGAAAATACTGCTTCACCACCTGGAGACAAAGAAGAAAAAATAGAAGTCACTCTGGGCAGGCTACAACACTTAACAAAAATTTACATAAAACTGAGTTATCCCTATGTTCCACTATATGTAAATACTGTATAACATTAAATGTGTGATATGTTTTATAAATTAAAGCTGAACAGTAGAGTCCATGAGCTGTAAATCCACATGTGCACCACTGGTTTAAGATGTGATATGCTTTTACAAGTATTCTTTAAAATATAAAAAGCTTTAAAGTATTTACCCAAAGAACTCATAAAAAGGTCAATTTGGTAAAAGGACATTTTGACCCAAGAGCATCTAATATTTAAGCTTATTTTATTGGATAAGCATATCTCTTGTCCATCACAAGTTATAGAAAAGTTATATACGACTAAAAGAAAAAGTTATCTACTGTAATTATAGGAAGTTGTCACAACAGGAATTCAGCTCAAGAACTTCTTGCAATTACTGCTACAACGTCTATAAATGGGAAAAGCAAGCATTAAAATAGATTAATAAAATATAAAATTAAGACTGGAAAATCCAGAGACAAGCTGTATCCTTAGAAGAATAAATAGTTAAAATTATTCAGTAAGCTGACGTATTTAACCATTACTGGGCCTGTAAAAAATGCATTAAAATTACATTACAAATAGTTTTTAAAAAGCAAAGAAATAAGTGAAGGCAAAGCTTGAAGTATCCATTTTATTTTATAATGCTGATACAGGATGTTGGAAGAGACCATACCAAACGGCAGCATTCGAGAGCGTGAGCATCTCGTACCCTGTCCGCATTGAGCGGGCCTGTGAGAATCGTGAAGTCAGCGCGACACAGGGCCTGCAATGAAGTTCCCGCTGGCGGGTACAAACAAGGTATAATGTCAGAGTTAGTAGGCAATACTTTTTTGCTGCAATTCCTTAATTTGTACCCATTAGCAGTACTTTACCTGTTAACTTTACTGACTTGTTAATAATAGGACAAAAAGGCAAAAGCTTAAGAGCACCTGTGTTACATATCTTTGAAAGTCACTATGTTATAATATGGTAAGCACTTCTGGGTGCTGTGAAACTCTTAAATTAAGCATTGTTTTATGAACAATATAGATTATAAAAACTACTATTGTAAATGACAAAAAAAAACTATTTTTAGAACATACCTGTTGGGGATAAGTTGCAAATGGAATAATTTAGTATGGTTTGTAGCTATTTTGATGACCACCTCGCCTGGATACCTTCCCATAACCACTCTGCTGGTCTAAAATAAAACAAGTGTTAGAACCAGAACGGTAGTGGTTACATACTAATAATCAGAACAGTACCTAATTTTAAACAATCTCAAAAAATTAAGGGTAGCTTAATTCCCAAGTGTGAAAAATTCACCCTGAGCAATCATTTATCAAATAATTTACCAAATATGTAGTGAATGCATACAATGGCAGGCATTCAGAATGAGCTGATTACTTGACTTATTGTATAAAATGGGAGACAATCCCCTCACCCTTACAGTTTAAAAGTTTTAAGTTTCAAAGGATGGACAGCTGACCCTTTCACAACCACCAGCAAAAAATATCTTAAAATTTAGAACAAATTGTCAACCACAATCAGTGCTTAGTATCTCTGCCCTTCTAAGAAAAGGGCCCCAATCTCACCCAATCCATCTTTGCTGACCTTCTTCTGACTTTAATTAACCTATTATTGTGCAGCAGGCCTAGTCACCTAAGAAAGGATATAACTCCAAGAACTGGTCTAACCAAGGAAGGAAAAGAAAAACCACTTAAAACAATGCAACCAATGCAACCACTCTCCTCCAAAAAAATGTAAGATTGCTTCTAGTAGAACCCTTTACCTGACGACTCAACAGTTGCTACAAATCAGGTGGAGAGCAACTACCTTAGTTGCACAATGAAGTCAGGGCTTTCCATGTCTAAAAGTCAAGTTTTTTGGTTCTATCAAGCTCAACATCTGTTTTAAGAGTTTCTACATTAATAATCCTAAAGCGAGGATACTATTAGTTTTAACTGGCAACATGTGGTATTATTCAGTTTTATAGGATTAAGACACATCATGCCAAGATTATTGGTTGGTCCAAGAAGTGACATTTAGAATACCTTGAGCTTAAAAGATCTGAACTGAGCTTAAAATTTTTAAATCCAAGTAAAACAAATGCCCAGCAAACATATATAGAACCACACATACACCCTACCCTTATAATGTGTGTGTGATATAGGCTGGGAGGAACCAAGCAATAAAATGGCTGCAGTTTCAAGTTTCCAGGAATTTGAAACCTGAAGACATTTGCACTTGGCAAGGCTACACTAACCTTTCTGCCTATCCAAATTTGTACAAAATAAATGTCAAATAGCAGTTAATATAAAAAGTATAGTACTTACTGCTATAATCACCATATCCATAGTAGTTGTTGTAACCAGTGTAGTCATATCCTCCATAACCACCGTAACCTTGGCTGTTATATCCATAGTTGCCATAGCCTTGATTCCAATAGTTACTATATCCCTGGTTCCAGTTTTGACTGGGGCCTGCAGCACATTAATAGGTTCACTAAAGTCAGAAGATCAGCAAAGATCTTTACTTCAGGATAATTAAAAAGCAGAAAAGCTTAAGATAGAGTAAACTTAGGCTCTAGCTTACCACCACCTCTTCCACGAGCTCTTCCTGCAAATCCTCCTCTAGATCCCCACTGTTGCTGTTGCTGATATTGTTCCTTCGACATGGCTACTTTTATTTCACACTAAAAGAGAAAAATTACATTATTAAACTGACTCAAGAAAATAAAAGTTGCTAAATAAGTTTCTAATAACCAGAATAGCCAACATGTTTAAATAGAGTAGGCTAATTTGAAACTTTCCTCAGTCAGTTTATTAATTAAACCAATATTTAGTACTTAAGAGTAATCACTTATGAGTACTTGCTAGTGATGTTACTTCATTTTACTTGTCAAGTTCTAAAAACTATTTTTGTGAAAGCCTAGACAAAAACACTAACAAATGTGTCCATCCTGCTCCCCACAAAAAGTTGGTCAATGGTAAGTAACCAATGAGAAGTTTTTAAAGCATGCAAAGAACTTAAGCCTTTACAGAGAAAGATAAATGGTTAAGCTCTTTACAACAGCTAGTTTTCTCTACAAGTAAATGGATGCTTAACTTACTTTACTAAGACCAACATTGTGGTATTTCTTTTCCATTATCTTCTTCACTGGTTCTTCTTCCTTAAAGGTAATAAAGCAGAACCCACGCCTCTTATTGGTCTTGTTGTCCATGGGGAGCTCTATGGATTCCACCTGGTATTAAAAAACAAATTTTAATATGCTAACATGCATTTTATTGACCTTAAAAGAAACACAAGTTTAGAGGGGGGAAAACACACAAAGAAAACATGTATTTGGCACTGAAGTTCTAGTCTCCTGTTTCTCCCTATTTATTCTAATCCTTTTAAGGAATTCTTCAAATTAGAACACCCATTCCATCTAAGGTCTTCACAACTATTTACAAAAATAAGCTTTACCACGCACTGACATTTACTACCTAACTCAAGGGTCACAAATTCAAATGCCCACAAAGAACAAGAAGAAAACAGTCAAATCTAAGAAAAACAGAATAAAAATGTATTTGAGAGAAAACAGGAAGTAGGGTGGTGAGGACTACTAAAAACTGGAGAGCATATGCCCAAACCAAGATGGAAGCTACTACTCAGTTTGAGAGATGCTGCCGTACAGGAGGGCAGCGTCAGTTCCCATGTTGCGTGCTCTTGCAAGTATTTTTTAAAAAGCTAGATACTGAGTTTTGTGGGCAATATCTCAAATCCTCAACACTAAAAAAGCACTTATTGTTTCAATCAAGCAATAAATGTCTGTGGGACGTATCTGGAGCCCAAGGCCACAAATTTCTCAACTTTCATTAATTCATAAAAGAAACCTCTATTATCTACCTATTTCACTAATGAGTCTAAGTTTGTTTTACTTTTAATTGAGACGGGGTCCCACTATGTTGTCCAGGATGGTCTTCATCTCCTGGTCTCCAGTAATCCACCCACTTCGGCCTCCCAAGTGCTGGGATTACTACAGGCATGAGCCATCGCGTCCAGCCTCACTAATGAGTCTATAATGATTAGTCTCATTAAATTTGCACTTACACATGCATTTCAACTGATAAGGCACTACACCCTATTCTTAATTCCTTTCCTATTTTCAACAAAAGTCTCCTTCTAATCTAGATTTCTTCCTCTTAATTGTCTGTATTTAAGAATGTTTGTCTATTTCATCTTTGTATACTCTACCCCAGCAATACTCTGCATAGAGTAGGTGCTCAATGAGAAAAACACATTATCCAACCTTCAAAGACCTGCTAATGAAGTATTTACAATATCCTTATTCCAAAACAGATCACATAATCTACCCTAACAGCTTTGAAAAGCCAAGTGACTCTGAGTCCATAATGGGACAATCACATTCACACTAATTTTGACATAAACTGGGTCAAAACATTTATAACATACCTCACCAAAACCACCAAAGTACTCCCTTATTTTCTCTTCAGGTGTATCTGGAGAAAGGCCACCAACAAAAATTTTTTTAACCGGCTCTTTTGTTTTCATGGCTTTGGCCCTTTTAGGATCAATCACCTTCCCATTCAATTTATGTTCTTTTTGATCCATGACCTAAGGAAATTGAAGTTTTCATTTAAAAAATATATATCTTAACTGAAGTTCAGAGACTATTAACTTACTTAAAAATAACTATAAATACAGATAATGCCAAGCATATGTTGACTTGCTCAAGATTAAACTGTCAAGTCATGGTGGTGATGTAACATCAACTAACATATACTGTTTAAATCTAAAGGTAAGAATGGTAGGACATACACAAATTTAACCAATTACTAGATAACCATTACCTTCAATATATACAAACATGACTGCTACTTCCCTTTAGCACTATATACAAACATAACTGCTACTTCCCTTTAGCCCAGGATCAAAATAATGATTCAGTTAAAAGTTGCTTGCCTAACAAAATTTCAAAATATGGACTTCTGTGAATTGCTAAAACACATCCTTTTAACTAGGCATCTTTAAGTCTATAGTATCTTTAAAGTTAATTTCAAAATTTAGCAGAGCCTGGAACACAAATTATTCAGGAAATAATTCCTGAACCTACCTCTATCTTCATAAAACGTATTGGGGCAAGAACTATTCTTCCTTCCTATACTATCAAAATGGGGAACCACAAATAGGCAA
Organism: Homo sapiens; assembly: GCF_000001405.40. NCBI lineage: Eukaryota > Metazoa > Chordata > Mammalia > Primates > Hominidae > Homo > Homo sapiens. The sequence goes on from NC_000004.12 coordinate 82,359,400, forward strand.
ACTCATTGTATCAAACTATCCATATGTTAATATTTTATATTATTAACTGATCAGAACACGTAACACACTACCTTATCTACACTCTCCGATTCTTTAAATAGCACAAAGCCAAAACCCCTTGATCGCCCTGTGATAGGATCTAACTTCAGAGTGCAGTCTACAACTTCACCAAATTTGGAAAAGTAGTCCTTCAGATCTTTCTTTGTAGTGTCCCAGCTAAGGCCTCCTATAAACATTTTCCTGTAAAGACAAAAAGCAGTATTAAAATGCTTAAAAAAAATTGCCTTAAATATTATCCACATCAATAACACACCTTTTCCAAACTGCACCAGTTTACTGGGCAGTATATTAAAACATCATTCTTCCTACATAACCACACATCAGGAACATCCTATTCCAAAAAGCTGGCTTATTACTGCTGCTCCCAAATAATTACAAAATAGTGAGCAAGCAGCAAATTAAGTCTTTCAACTTGCTAAAAGATAAACATATACCCAAAGTAAAAATACTGTACATAAAAGTTTTCCTTAGATTAAAAAGTTAACAGCAAAAAAACCAGAATCTTAGCTTCAAATTTCTCTTCCAAATGTTCATTAAACTTGTTAAAATGCTATGCAGTTCCCCACTGATCTCAGCAACCAGCATTGGTGTCTATGCTGAAGCTCCTTTTCTATTTTAACAGTTCTCTCATTAACAAAACTCTTAGCACATAAAATGGAAAATTCTACATCTCACAATTAAGTTGTGAGCCAATTTTTTTGATGTGCTAAGAGTCCTTAAGACAAAAGTAATGTGCAATATAAACAATTTAGTGAAAATTATCCATTGAAGTACAATCCACTAATTAACTTAGATGATTCGTTTACAGTAGAACCTCAGTTAACCAGCAATAAAGTATTTAAGCCTTTAAAATGCAGAAAGTGATGGGTGGTAAGCGGAAATCCACCAAGACACTCTAAGACCAAACGTATATACTCAAAATAAAATATTTTAAGGCGAAATCTTACTAACATTACAGCAAAACACCAGAAAGTTCAGATCTGGCAGCTTTACATAGGCTCCCTTTGTACAAAAATAAATAAATAAATAAATAAAAAGCTATCCTATACCTAACCTTCTTTCTACCCTTTAAAAAGACAGGACTGGAGGTTTTTAATTTTAAGGGTAAACTGTCAGAATTTGTTACATAATGGCTAAAAATGTCACCATGGGAATCAAATCAGACTTGCTCAACATTTTCTCTTCTTTTTAACTGGGGAAGGGTCATGGGTGGGGACTGGGATGTGACACTAACTCAGCTCTATAAAGAAATTAAAGGCCTTTCATTAGGAAACATCTCCATCTTGTGGGCTTTTAAGATACTGCCACTAAGGCCCATTCTTGGAATAAAAGGCCAATTAACTGTCCCTTGAATTAGGGTCTTTCTTCACTTCCTCCAAGATACCTGATTAACTGAGGTGTTACTGATCTTACTATCCTACCACAGTCTTGTTTTACTTCTAGTGACAAAGCAAACTTTCAGTGCAGAGTAAGTCTTAGGTATATACTGCGCTTCCCACTTCAGGTTAGCTTTTCAACTTACATGTATTCTAGAGCTGGGCCATTTATATGCTTAATGTTCAGGACTTCCTCAAAGTTTCCAGGCTTGAAGTAGCATTTATAAAACAACTTTGGCATTTTATAATCAAATGAACAAAAATACCCATAATGTTTTGTGTATTTGAAATGTTTACTTCTTGCCAATTTCATGGAAGAAATTTGAGTTATTTTCTCAATATACATTTTCTTTAATTTGAATAGTGTGTACCTTCTAATATACAATCTTTATTTACATAATTTGCTATAAACACCTTATTTTTAACTTACAGGTCCAGAATACTTCCTTCACAGACAGAAGTTATTTACCAACATTCACCCTGTAAAGGTGAGTACACTATATTTTTAATGAGAAAGAGAACTGACTATAAAGCAATGACCTCTTGCTAAGATGACCATAAGTTCCACAACAGAAATAACTTCAATTAAGTTGAGATTTAACTATTAAATTACCCTTTCCATGATTATTACAGAAATTTCTCAATAATAACTAACAAACTTTGAAAGTATTTCAGCCTGAACACAACAGTTCTAACAAAAACATTTTTTAAGCTGTTGAAAGGCAAGAAAATTCTCTGTCTGGTCTATTCAGATATGGAGACAGAACTAGTTTTGATTTTATTTAACCAAAAAGCAATGTTTATATTGGGAAAATACCCTTAATTTAAAATTATTAAGAAACAGAAAACAATTACAAAGAAATAAATTAAAACACCAAGAATGAGGTATGTGGTATTATTCTGAAGCCCCAAATGTTTTTCAGACAAGAAGCAGATTTTCTTAAATATCACCTAAGCATATCATCAGCTGGCCCAGCAAAGTGCTCTCCAAACGTACTCCCCACCTTTAGTATGGTAGTTGTTTAATATGCCTACCTTAGAGCTACAAGGGTTCACTGAAGATGCTATCCCTCCTAAACTAATAATCAAATATCAATTATCCAGAATATTAAAAACTTCAGCTATCCAGCACTTTTGGAGAATAAGGAGCCAAGTATTATTCCACCTCCCTTAAAGCACCGCCTGCCCTCTCTAATCTTTCCCCAATTGTTTTTAACCTTCAATCATTTGAAATGAGATTTTTTTCTAACAGCATCACACTTTTCTGCCTTCTTATACTTCAAATACAGTAATCATAATTTAACACTATGGCTCAGACATCACTATTATGCTGATTTAGAATATCCACAGGGTCTTCTAAAATTAGCTATTAATACACCAAGTCCATCTCATTTCTTCACAAGTTCTACTTTTCATTTTTGCCAGATCACCAGTTGCTGTTCTAAAAAGTCTCCCTTCCGTTTTGCAGAGTAAGTAGCCAGCTGTCAAACTTTTCAAATTCTGTGTAAAGTAGAAGTCTCTAAGCAAGCACCTAAGTGGCTCGTCTTTGAGACAAACGTATTAATATTTTGGCAGCCCAAGAACACTCTGGCTTTTTCTTCTGTTCTAATCAAAAAAGGTTGTTGTTCTCAGGGTATGCTTAGGCTTTAAAAAAAAAAAAATGGTTGCTGACCAAATAGGTGAATATGCTACAATGAACACAAACTGGACCAATTCTATTCCATCTTTACTAAATGGAACATATTAATTCCATTCCATCTTTTTCTGTTTTTGGTTGCTTAGTTTTTGAGACAGTCTCACTCTGTCGCCCAAGCTGGAGCGCAGTGGCACAATCTCAGCTCACTGCAACCTCTGCCTCCCAGGTTCAAGTGATTCTCATTCCTCAGCCTCCGTGGGAGGGATTACAGGCTGCACCACCACGCCTGACTTGATTTTTGCATTTTTAGTAGAGACGGGGTTTCCCCTCGTTGGCCAGGCTGGTCTTGAACTCCTGGCCTCAAGTGATCCGCCCGCTCCAGCCTCCCAAACTGCTGGGATTACAGGCGGAAGCTACCATACCCAGCCCCAAACTCTAACTTTATAGTACAATGGGGAAAAGTCTGCTTATCTTAATTATGGATAAATGGGCACTTAGTCTCTACAATGTTGGCATACATGCTCTCCCTCAAACTGATGGCATAATGATTTTATATATATATGTGTGTGTGTGTGTGTATATATATATATATATACATTTACAAATACTTATTTTTTTCTTTTTAAACAGAGTCTCACTCTGTCGCCCGGGCTGGAGTGCAATGGCATGATCTAGGCTCACTGCAACCTCCACCTCCCGGGTTCAAGCAATTCTCCTGCCTCAGCCTCCTGAGTAGCTGGGATAACAGGTGCATGCCACCATGCCAGGCTAATTTTTTTTTGCACTTTTAGTAGAGATGGGGTTTCACCATATTGGTCAGGCTGGTCTCGAACTCCTGACCTCGTGATCCACCTGCCTCGGCCTCCCAAATTAGAGGCGCGAGCCACCATGCCCGGCTAAATTATCTACATATTTTCTATGACTGTATCTTGCTTTTAAAGCACATGTACTGTCTGTCCAGATTACCTCTGCTGCCTTGAATACAAAGCATTTCATATTGCTGTCACTCCTGCGTAGTGCAAACACTTTCCAATGAAGTAGACAGAACTTCAGAAAATACCCTAAGGAGCCATGTTAAAAACGACCAAGACTTGTTCAACTAGCAACAAAGATGGCCCCTAACGCTGCAATAAGTTTAAACTTTGATCCTTAGTTCTAAGTGAATCAATCCCAATTAAAATGCAGGACTTCATCTACTGTATTTTATTAACATAGTTGAGTATCTTAATCCTAGCTGTGAACTAAATATTCAGCACCCCAAGGCTGAATATGGTATTCAGTTTAAAACACCTACTCCACAACAGAAGTCTCCTTGCTTTCACATTGGCTTCCACCAAATTGTAAAATTAAATGACAAGCATAAAGTTATACAACTCAGCATAGATAACTATCCAAGTGATATGCAGTATCATTCAGGAATTTAGGCTCCTTTGTGGGACATTTTATCATCTTTTAAAGCAAGTTAAGTTTAGAGGCAATAAAGACAAAATGCCGGGGTTTAAACCCTACTGCTGCCTTTTTTTAAGACAGGGTCTCACTCTGTCTCCCAGGCTGGAGTGCACTGGCTCCATGACAGCTCATTGCAGCCTTGACCTCCTGGGCTCAGTTGGTCCTCCCACCTCAGCCTCACCAGTAGCTCGGACTACAGGCACCCACCAACACACCCGGCTAATATTTTTGCAGAGATCAGGTTTTACTATGTCGCCCAGGCTAGTCTTCCAACTCCTGGGCTCAAGCTGCCCACCTCAGCCTCCCAAAGTGCTGGAATTCCAAACATGAACCACTCCACCTGGCCCCCTGCCTCTTACTAATTGTGTAACATTAAGAAAAAATATTAAAGTCCAAGATTGTTTTCCCATCTGTAAAAAGAGCATACCTCAGATATTTGCAGAGGGTTAAAACTAGTTAACACACTTAAAGGACACAGAATAGTCTGACACACATCCTAAATGATTGATAGAAGTTACTATTTTGAAGGGGTAAAGCACTATAAGCACTATCTAAACATAATTTAATAAAGCAAACTTTTTATTTACTCAATGGCTTAATTTTTTAAAACTGCATAGGCTTTATAAACTTTCCAACATTAAAAGGAAAAGGCCACAATGAGTTTTATATAAACATATTCTAATATTTTCAATGCTGCCAACTTGAAATAACCCAGAAATTTTTAAATAGTCCATGTAAAAAAATATATAAACTAAAAATTAGGTGGTATTTCAACTAAGACCCTTTAAATGTAGCTTCCAAAATCACCTTGATGACTTGGTCTACCCTACATTTATGCCAGTAATTTTAGTAAAGAATAATTTAAAACATAAAAGGAAATATACATGGAGCAATCCTGGCTGGTGGAAAATGTTCCGATTTAATAATCCTGGCTTTTCCCCATCAATAAACTTATTCTCTGGACTATTTAGGTCACTAGGTTTTTAACATTCCCAGTCAATATTAACTATTTTATTCCAAGATACCTCCCCTAATAAGTCTTTATTGTCAAACACCTTATTCAAGGTAAAAAGTTAGCCATTATACTCACTCCCAATTTTGGAATAGTATTCTTTTTCTATGTTCTATAACTTCGTATTATTTTTACTTTTTTAGAGACGAGATCTTGCTCTGTTACCCAGGCTAGTCACAGAACTCCTGGACATAGCGATCAGCCTCCCAAAGTGCTAGGATTACAGGCATGAGCCACCACACCCAGCCAATCCTTTAACTTTTAAACACTTCCTAACAACTTATGATCTTACATACATGGCTTTATAACAAGTTCTGACAGTTTAAAAAATACAACAGAATGTCAACCTGATATACATTTCAGGTATAAAACATAAATGACCAATCACTGTCATCTTTTAAAGTAATGTTACTCAAGCACACCATTAAATCCTTACTGAATTTTTCCAGTATTTTATCCATCATAATTATTCTTCTAAAATCCTAAAATGACAAACTAAAGCTAAGTCACTAGTTACCTAAGGGGAAGGGAGGAGGTTACAATGCAACTAGATAATATCACACGTTAGGGTATTTTACAAGTTGTATGAAAACTACCTTGGGAGAGAGCTTGACAAGCTTTCATCGAGTTCAAATACTAACCAGCCTTTTTAGATCTGATCTGGTATAAAATTCATGAAAACCACTTTTTTGAGACAGAGTCTCGCTCTATTGCCAGGCTGTGGTGCAATGGTGTGATCCTGGCTCACTTCAACCTCTGCCTCCCAAGTTCAAGCAATCTTCCCATCTCAAGCTCCTGGGTAGCTGAGACTATGGGTGCACACCACGAGGCCCAGCTAATTTTTTTTTTTTTTTTTTTTTTTTGTAGAGACAGGATCTCATCATGTTGCCCAGGCTGGTCTGGAACTCCTGGGTTCAATCTGCCCACCTCAGCCTCCCAAAGTGCTATATTACAAGCGTGAGCCACCGCACCCAGCCCACTTTTTTTAACTATTTAAAACTAATGAGACATTAAGGTTAGCCAATAACAAATCTTCCCCAAAAAACACTTTAGTCAATAAAAATATAAATTTTGGTATTATTTCCCCATCATTAAAGAATAGGTATTCCTCTCCCCCAGCTTTCTACAGATGACATTTTCAAGGTAAGTGTGAAAAAGAATTCCATTTATTCAAGACTAATATACAATGGACCAAACATTTTCAGAGACTTCTCTGTATTAAATCTCATTACTTCACACTTTAGAATGAACCTAACTAAATGACTACTAAAAAGCGAAGTTGAAAAAATAAACATCTAATAAATGAAACATGACAGTTTTTTTGGGAGGGGGACAGAGTCTCGCTTTGTCGCCCAGGCTGGAGTGCGGTGGCGCGATCTTGGCTCACTGCAACCTCTGCTTCCCGGGTTCAAGCTCTTCTCCTGCCTCAGCCTCCCAAGTAGATGGGACTACAGATGCCCACCATCATGCCCGGCTAATTTCTGTATTTTTAGTAGAGACAGGGTTTCAACATGTTGGCCAGGTTGGTCTCGAACTCCTGACCTCAGGTGATTCGCTTGCGTCAGCCTCCCAAAGTGCTGGGATGACAGGCATAAGCCACCGCGCCCGGCCAACATGACAGTTTTTTAAATAAACTTTTTTTTTCTTTTTTTGAGACGGAGTCTTGCTCTGTTGCCCAAGCTGGAATGCAGTGGTGCAACCTTGTCTCACTGCAACCTCCGCCTCCAGGGTTCAAGTGATTCTCCCGCCTCAGCCTCCTGAGTGACTACAGGCGCATGTAACCACACCTGGCTAATTTTTGTATTTTTAGTAGAGCTGGGGTTTCGCCATGTTGGCCAGGCTGGTCTCCAATTCCTGACCTTAGGTGATCCACCCATCTTGGCCTCCCAAAGTGCTGAGATTACAGGTGTGAGCCACTACGCCTGGCCTAAAAATAAAACACTTTAAGAGACCAGGTCTCACTATCAAAATGCAGTGGCTCCATCATAGCTTCCTGCAGCCCTGAGCTCCTTCCTGGGCTCAACACATTCTCCTGCCTCTGCCTCCTGAGTAGATGTAACTACAACTACAAACACACCCCCCAACACACTAGCCTTTTTTTTTTTTTTTTTTTTAAAGAAACAGGGGTCATATTATGTTGCCTAGCTGGTCTAGAAATCCTGGCATGAAATGATCCTCATACCTCAAGACTTCTGAGTAGCCAGTGATTACAGGCACGAGCCACTACTTTAATTAACTTTAAATGCTTAATCCAATACCTCCTTTTCACTTCACTACAAGGAAGCAATGACATCTTGTATGTTTACGTTTTAAATAAGCTCTCAATCAGCTTTGTAAGGTAAACTCCCATTTACCTAGAGGTTAAGGAATAGGTATTTTCCTTAACCTGAAGGTTAAGGTTCTGGTTAACTGAGATTACTACATATTCACAATTCTATAAAACTGTGTACTGGAAATCAATTTAGGTATCAATGCTGAAGTCAGAAAATGATTTGTACCTTGATGAATTTTCCAACGTTTTAAAATCATGTTACTTTTCAAAAGTGTAAGGAAAAATCTGTAGGAGATTCATTCCATGACATTGTCTGTTGGTTGCTTTTTGAGTATATTTTCTCATGGCTTCATCTATCTTGCTCATAAGACTAAATGGGGAGACAGACTTCCTGGCTGTGTGGGCTCTGTGGTAGTCTGAAGTCTAGATAAGCAGGAGTTTACAGTGCAAGACCCAATACTTAAACTGTCACCTTGATTACTGGCCAAGCACCACCAGTAAATTGGAGTCTTCCCTCCCCACCCCCAAATATTCTTAAATACCTAGCTCCAACGTACAATATAATACTCCAGAAACTAAAACATGCTTACCTTTACTCCACAGGAGTAAATCACTGGCAGTATCAACTATTAGGGCACTGGATAAATACACACAAGCTATGAAAGCAGGCTATGTAGTCAATCCTCCTGTGGTGAGCATTGTTTCCAACACATAGATCAGCAAACCAAGTAACAAACATGTCGTATTACCTGAAACCACACTGTTGGAAGTGAAGCAACAGAAAGAGATCCCACGCTTTCAGCATCCAGTTCAGTGCCCTATCTACTAAAACGTTGAAGCAGAACTGAAGTCAAATCAAGCTTGGACTAACATAAGTTATGTTTCACCCATTTGTAAATGTGCACACACTTGAGGTACACAGCTTCCAAGTGGAATGGGAAAAAAAATTACTCTATTCCTTTTTAAATGCTTTCAAGCATGGTATGTATTATGACTTGAAGGCTAAAACTAATCACATCCTTCACGTTGGCATAAATAGTATACTCAATATGTATACTCAAATGTATACTCAATAGTATACTCAAAATGTTCTCGTATTAGGGCAGCCTTACCCTAATATTATGTATTAGGACGATAGCAGAGTACCCAGGAAATATTAAAAACATACACTGAGTTTGTAGAAAGGGTCACATGGCTTAAGGGAAAAAACCCCAGATTTAAGGCAAAGTATGTGTATCTCAAAAACAAGCACTGAAAAACTTCAATGACATTCTCCCAATTCCAAACTTAAAAAACGAGATTATTTTTAGTATCTTTCATAATAGATGAAAATTTACAGTGAGAAGTATTTAATACTCTTCGCTTAAATGTTCATCTAAAGATCTGGGGACATCAATTTCTGGAATTTTTAACTCGGGAAATTTGTCAAAGGCTCCCAAGAATGCTAACACTGAGACCAATCTACGCAGGGTCTCAACTTTACTACATACAGTAAACCCAACTGTACTGAATCAAAGGCCAGTAAATTTGGCATGAGACTACTCTAAAAGAAATTATTTTACAAAGCAAACAATGTTCAGATTGCCCCAGAAGCACTAAGGTATAAGACCATAATCTCAAACATTTAAAGCAAAAACATGAGCCTAGTCTTTTATAATCAGACAGGCAACAACCTACAGCAGGATTCACAGAATTCCCAAATGGGAAGAATCACACTTGGGCTCATTATACACTAACCATTAACAGGACAATATCTACTGTCCTGTTATTAAAGAAGCATTGCTGGACTTTGGCTAAGTGAATGGGGGGACTTTTTTGCTTCCTACCCAATCCAATGCAGGAAAGTCTATGTACCTACCTTGTAAAACTATCTCAAAGTTAACACAACATTGTAGTTTCCATTGATTTTTAAACTTTAAAAACTCTGCCCTCAGAGAGCTTGCTACATGGCATGTATATTTTGCCAGACACTAAATAATTTTAAAGTACCTACCCCAAATGAACTGCAGCACTGCAGAGAACAGAATGGGTCCACACCACAAAGTAAAATGAGAAATTCCAATGCTTATAAGTAAAAACTACGGATGTTAATGTGGGAAAGAGTAAATCAAAGTGAACTCAGGAGGGCATACTATGGAAATAATTACTTATTCTAAAGTCCCATAGTAAACTGTAGAAACATCCACTAGAGGTGTAACAGGCATGCCTTCCTAAAAATAGCTGTCCATTCTTACATGCAAAAGGAAAAAAACCTATTTCTAAAACCAACTGATTTTTAAAGTATTTTAGGATGAAACTGTAATCACTTTATTCTCAGATTTGCAGAAGGAAATGCACACAGAACTGTGTTTAATAAATTCAATTTGGATACTCTATTAACCAGTCTTACCCTCAATATTGAGACTATAAAACTGTTGCCCTTATAATATCCCTCAAAATGGGAGAAAGAGGAAGGGACAGATACGGTGGGGAGTGCAGACACCAAAAAAAAAAAAAGAGAGAGAAAAAAGTCTGAAAGTTTTTCATTCAAAAAGAAAGCCTTAACGTCTGGAACAGGATAGGGCTGCATAATTGGAAAGTTAAGAAAAGTCAAATATTAGAGCCCTTAAAAATGAGAACATTATTTTTAAGTGTAATTTTAAAATCAACCTGGCTAGGCCGGGCGCAGTGGCTCACGCCTGTGATTACAGCACTTGGGGAGGCCGAGGCAGGCGGATCACCTGAGGTCGGGAGTTCGAGACCAGCCTGACCAACATGAAGAAACCCTGTCTCTACTAAAAATACAAAATTAGCCAGGCATGGTGGAATATGCCTGTAATCCCAACTACTTTGGAGGCTGAGGCAGGAGAATTGCTTGAACCTGGGAGGTGGAGGTTGCGCTGAGCCAAGATCACACCACTGCACTCCAGCCTGGGCAACAAAAGCTAAACTCCGTCTCAAAAATAAAATAAACCTGGGTAAAATTTTATTTTCAGTAAATGACAGTTGGTTACTATCTAGAATGTTTATTAACTATGAATATAAACATTTCTCCATTTTTCCTGAGATTATTCAAAAAAGTTGTAATATTACATCGTTTTAGGTAGCAGGTCAAGTGTAATTACTTCGAAGAGTCAAAACACTGACCTTCAAATTTAAGTTTATGGTCATTTCAAATCACTGGAAACAATTACATGAGACTCAAAATACATAATGGAGTAATGTCAAATAGTTTATAGTTTAATCTTAATTTGCCACTATTAGCTAGCAGTGAAATTGAGCTGCTAGTGCCCACCACTCACCAAATACAGGGAATAACATTCATCGAAACTGTGACCCCAGTCTTTTTTTTTTCCTCTTTTTTGCTTTTCCCCTTGCCTGTTTCCCATCTGCTTTTTCTCCAAGGTAAAGCTGGACTGATTTCAGTGGATGAGAATACAGTGATAAGCAAATCTTTAAATGTTACCCTAAATAGGCTCTTAAAATAGAATGTAGCTTGTAAAGATATAAGTTAACTGCCTGCAAGTTAGTGGCCTTCTACTCTCCAGTGGTGGTGTATAAACCCCTGAAAATTCAAATATAATCCTAAAAGCAGAAAGACTGACATTTAGGGGAGGGGAAAGGATGGATAAAAAGAACAATACTCAACCTACCAGCCTCCAAAGAGAAGTCATGCAATTGTGAATACATGTCAACCAACTGTTATTAATATTCCAGCCAAATCACACTGAAAATAAAAAATCTGGTAAGAGCTGTAGTGGAAAGCCACATTAGCCCACCTTTTAATGGTATATATATACACACACACACACACACACACACTTCTTATTAAAGGTCTATTTACAAATATGCTAGGTAAAAGACAAACATTTTTCCATAATACACAGTGCTGCTTAAAGAACTGCTTCAGACATCTCCAGAATATTTCAGTATAACATGCATGACATTTTAAACACAATATTTTATATCAAGGAGTCTTCATATTTAGCCATTAAACTTAAATTCCAACAAAAATATTTTTCATCTTAAAATAAATCAAATGTGAAGATTACGGTAATATTTTTTCTTGCTCGATATAAAAATATCGTTACTAATTGTTTAGCTTAAATTGCCAAACTGCAACTACATGCATTACCACAGACCAAATACCATGTAACGGCATCAATTTTGCCCAAAGATTACACATGATGCCTATAAAAGGTATATATCCCAGGTACAAACCTACTGTATGTACTATGGTCTAGAATTTCCTGGGGATCAATGGGCAACTAACCAATACACAGCCTCTACATATTATGACTACTGAAACCTTTATAATACAGAAATAAAATTTAAAAGTTTTACCATTCTTCCCGCTGTGCCGTCGCTGCTTCAGAGTGTCGTGGGGAGGAGTTTGAATGGCTAGGGAATTAACAACCGGTACAGCAACCAATCAAAATTCTAGTTTTAGTTTTTGACACTGTTAGGGTTAAAAACTTTAATTCATTTACACTTCAACAGTAGGTAACTATAAAGTCAGCTGCTTTGCGATTTGAATTATCAGGGCTAACAGAAAGCCTGCCCCAAACAGGAAGTTATACAATTAATCATTTTGGTGCCTCTGTCCAAAGAACAGAATTCAGCAAACGAAAACCAAAATGTTAAAGGTTTTAAGTTTCCAAATATCTAACATCTTCCTTTCTCAAATAAGCTATATACAATTCGAGTTGGTTCTGTTTAATTTTTAAAAGTTTGCTTCCCTTCCCACCACCACTCCCCCAAAACCAGCACTATCATCAAACAGCCTGACAAGAATCTGCCTAGGCTGGGCTTAATAAACCCTATATTCCAAAGTGCTTCTCCCCTCCCAACTTTCCCTCCAAATCCTGGGCTCTTTCTCAGTAAAGGAAATCGTGTTTTCTAATACTAGATTAAAGCGACATCTTGTTATATCCACCAACACCTTTCTCTTTACAGTTAAAAAAAAATTCAGACACACACACACCCCTCCCCATTACAAAAAGGAATGGAAGCGTGAACCCACGATCATCGGTCAGTAATCGGAGCTAAGAAAACTCAACCAAGAAACCTGATTTAGTCCCTCCTGCTAACTCCCGTATTATGTTCCCAATCCCAAATGCTGCATTTTAATACACTAAATGCAGATTTAGGTAGTATATACAACTGTTATTTCAATTGGAGGAAGCAAGTTAATACTAAGAAATTTGCACCAAAAAGAAAAAAAAAGTATCCCATAGCACAATACAGGATTTGTTTCTCTTAAGAGGACTACAGGCCTCCCTTAGTGGGCGGGAAACAGATATCAAGACACCAAAATAGGATCCTGGGCACCGGGAAAAAAAGGGGGCTGGGGGTTGTAAAAAATTAGGTTGCACATAAAAAGTAAGGTACAATCTGTACTAACAGTTGGGGAACCCAATAGCTGAGGGCGCGAAAAGGGTGCGCGGTTAGAATAACTCAGTGGGGTGGGGGAAGGGTAGATGCTAGGCCGGAGATAGGAACAGCTCCAGTCAAGTGCAGGCCCGATCGACTAAGAACTTAACCAGAGCCCGCGGAGCAAAACCAATGTACCAACAAGAAACTCGGAGCATTTCACCAGACCCAATTTGGTCTGCATGTCAAAATGTAGGGCCTGTATGAGTATGCCATTGTGCGATAGCGTATGGTGGAGAAAATGAGTAAATCCTTAGGCGAAACTTATTCAAAATCCCAAGAAAACAGTCGGCCTAAGGCCGACAAGGGAGAGGCAGAGGTGGACAGCCTACGCGTTCCCCAAAACATGTGCTTATAAACAATCGCATCGTTTCAGGATGGTGGAGAAGCACCAAATAAACCTTAGTAATACAAACAGAGAAGCTGTTTGTGTCTGTGTTTTTATGCCCAAGACTGTAGAAAAAGGGAAAAAGAGGGGACAGCATGGAAAGAAAAAAGGTACCCCACGACAGGCGGGAAAAAATCCTGGCGGCTAAGTCGGTGGGAGGAGACCCATGGCGAGGGAGGAAAGGAGGGCGGGCCGAGGAGCAGCATGGTGACGGCTAAAGGTGGAAACGTGTGTGATGGGGGAGGGGGGCGATAAGCAGGCAAAGGAAGAAGGAAATGAAGGTCCGGGGAACCCAACATAGAAAAAGGGAGACCAGTGCAAGGAGGCTGCATGGGGGCCCGGAGAACGGGCTGAGAGCGGGAACCAGGCCTAATGGCGGGGGAATAAAGAGGGGGAGGGGGACTAGTTGGGCCTGACTATCCTGGGATGCCCCTTACTCACCCTTCATCCTCCTCGTTCTTACTGGCGTCAATCTTCGCCCCCTCCGACTCGGCGCTGCCCCCTTCGGTGCCTCCAGACGCGGTTCCGCCCCCGGTCCCGGCTCCGCTTCCCGCCGCCGCCGCTGCCCCCTGTGTCGCCGCCACCATGGCTCCCTCCTGCTCGCCCGCCGAGCCGCCTACCGCCGCCGTTGCCGCTGCCGCCGCCCCGTCCCCGCCGAACTGCTCCTCCGACATAGTGCTAGTGTCTCCGCCGCTGCCGCCGAGACTACACCCGCCGCTGCCGCGAACCGAAACTAGCAGCAAAGTAATCCCCGCCGCTGCCGCGCGCCCGCTCTACCTCGCGAAGCACACAAGACAGGGAAGGCGCGCGCGTGGCTGCAAAGGCTCCTGCGCCTCTCCCTGGCCTGCCCCCTTCGCCTCCCACTCTCGCGCGGCGCACACTCCCGCTCTCTCCCGCTGCACTAAAAAAGAATAAGCACCAGCGGCGGCCGCTCTCGCCTCCTCCTCGCTTTAATGGCGCCGCCGCGGACCACCTAAAATGGCCGACGGAAGAACGGCGCGTCCCGGTCACGTGACGCGAGAGCGCGCCCTTCGCGCGTCCCCCCACCCCTATCCCCCTAGTTTTTTTTTTTTCCCTTTCCTCCTCGGTCCCGCCCTCTCGCTACCCTTTATACCTTCCTCTCACGCTCCGCGTTGCACAGCCTTGGGGGCCTTTAAAAGGAACCGGAAGTGTCGTGAGCTAAGACAGTCGCGCGGGGACCATCGAGAACAAGGAGTGCTGTTTCGAAGTAGCGGCTAGAGGGGCCCCCTGCCTCCGCCCCCGCCCTTCCGAGGATTCCTGGAGTCCACTCACCCCTCCCCACCACTCCAGTAGCGGCGGGAGCAGCAGCGTTAGGCCGGGGTGTGGCTGCACCTCTGCGAAGGCTGTCGTGCCCCGTGCAGCTGCGGCGTTCGGGTGGGGGAGGGGAGGCTCACACCCTGCGGCGGCTTAAGCCTGGATTTACGCACTGGAGGAGGGAATTAGCCCTGAGATGTCAGCCCTGTGCCCCTGGCGCTGTCCACCCGGACGCCCGCGGAGCGCCAGGCGCCGCAGCGGACCGCGCGCGCACTGATTGCCGCAGCTACTCTCCCTGCCGTCGCCGCCCGGGACCGGGTGACATTGAGGTTTTCGTCTATCGCCGCTGGGCCGATAGGGCTTCTTTTTAAGATTTGGCTTTCCAAGTAAGATTTTTGTTTGCCTGCTTTTCTCCTGGAATTTTTTTGTTTTTGGTCGAAGAAGCAGGTAACTTGCATATCTTAAGGAAAACATTGTTTTTGCTTTGCTTTTGTTGTTTAAAGATCCTAAAACGTACCGTGATTCCTTTACGTTACTAATAATTGGAAAGTGTGTTAAATCAAGGGTTCGCTTAATGTTCTTTAGCCTTTGTACATAGAATATATAAATGTCGTGAGTCATCTTTACGAGGTTTATGAGTTTGTGTTCGGGTTTGGCTTTTTTGTTGTGTGTGCGTGGTTTTTTTTTTTCTTTTCTTGTAACACCGTTAGGCGTTTCATTAAGGTGTATAAAAAGTAATTTTATACACCTATTAAAAATTCCCGCTGCCTCGGCTGGAGACTGGATTATTCGGGCTTTGGGATTTGCTGCTTCCAGCAGTATCCTTAGAAGAAAATGAAGCTTCTAGGTACTTCTGTAGTCAACAAATAATTATTTGCCTGTTTAATTAAAGTGTTCGGGCACGGGGGAAACAAAGACGAGTTTGCAGACTCCAGCAAAAATCTTAAGAGTTTAAGTATTTGGGCCGGGCGCGGTGGCTCACGCCTGTAATCCCAGCACTTTGGGAGGCCGAGGCGGGCGGATCACGAGGTCAGGAGTTCGAGACAAGCCTGACCAACATGGTGAAACCCCCGTGTCTACTAAAAATACAAAAATTAGCCGGGCGTGGTGGCCGGTACCTGTAATCTCAGGTACTCAGGAGGCTGAGGCAGGAGAATCGCTTGAACCCGGGAGGTGGAGATTGCAGGGAGTCGAGATCATGCCACTTGCACTCCAGCCTGGGCGACAGAGCGAGACTCCGTCTCAAAAAAAAAAAAAAAAAAAAAGTTTAGGTATTTTCCACTGCAGTTAAACGAATTTGTATTAATTGGACACTATCCAAAAATCTCAAAGGAAGATTATAAGTAAGTTTTATTAATCAAGTTAGTAGAATTTACATTACAGAATAATTAAAACTCAAGAATACAGGTCAAATTCTGAAAACGTCCTAAAAATATAATCTTACCAAACTCCCGTAATAATCAAGTCACATAAAGGTAATACCAAGAATGTTTACCGTAAAGTGGTAGTGACTCCACATTTGTCTCCACCTGCCAGAATATTAGCAAAGGATAAAGTGGATATGGTGCTCAAACCATATATTCCGGGTTAGATACAACTAAGATGATTGACTGAAGGGAAGTCTGTTTAATCTTTTCTGGCTCAAGTGACGGTAATTGTCATTTATTTTGATCTTAAGATATCATTAGACATACCCACCTTTTGGTAATAGTGACTTTTCCAAAAGGTTCATTTTGATTTCACATGTAGCTTAGGAGCTTCTGGAATTCTTAGAATTTATGTCAAAAGTTCCAGACAACCTAGGAATGATTTTAAAGCTAACACCTTTACATGCTTTATGAGGATGTATGATGTCCATATCACTGATAGTCCTTGATATTATGGCCAAGATCTCTACATCCAGGATGTGCTCCTGCATCCACACAATATTCTTCTTGGAACTCACTTAACTTCTGGCAGGCGTGGTGGCTCACGCCTGTAATCCAGCACTTTGAGAGGCCAAGTCGGGAGGATTGCTTGCCTCAAGGAGTTGGCCATCAGCCTGGGCAACGGAGTGAGACCTTGCCTCTACAAAAAGTCAGAAAATTAACCTGGCATGGTGGTTCCTGTTGTTCCAGCTACTCCTGAGGCTGAAGTGGGAGGATCACTTGAACCTGGAAGGTGGAGGCTGCAGTGAGAAAGGCAGAGTGAGACCCTGTCTCAAAAACAAACAAATGTTACTATTTATGTGAAGTCTTCCCAGGCTTCCTGAGGCAGAATTAATGATCCCTTTTCACAGCCCTTTATCTTTACCTCTGTTATTCTTCATTGTTTTCTACTAGACCATGAGTTCTTAGAAAACAGTGTCTTCTATGTATCTCTCCCTCCCTAACACACTCTCACACACACATAAACACAGCAGCAGTATATCCACACTATGTAATTGCCAGTTGAATTATTGAATGACAAAATAATAAGTATGTCCAACTTGTTAGATTAAGGGGCTTTCAAGCAAACTAGGTGTTCTTCCAGGGACTTGAAAGTCTCCTCTCCACACCATCTCATTTCATCTCTGGCATTAAAAAAAAAAAAACTTTTGGCCAGGTGCTGTGGCTCATGCCTATAATCCCAACACTTTGGTAGGCCAAGGAGGGATGATTGCTTGAGCCCAGGAATTTTTTTTTTTTTTTTTTTTTTTTTGAGACAGAGTTTCACTCTGTTGCCCAGGCTGGAGGTGCAATGGCGCGATCTCGGCTCACTCCCGGGTTGACGCCATTCTCCTTCCTGTCTCCCAAGTAGCTGGGACAACAGGCACCTGCCACCACGCCCGGCTAATTTTTTTTGTATTTTTAGTAGAGACGGGGTTTCACTGTGCTAGTCAGGACGGTCTCGATCTCCTGACCTCGTGATCCGCCCGCCTCGGCCTCCCAAAGTGCTGGGATTACAGGTGTGAGCCACCGCGCCCGGCCAAGCCAGGAATTTGAGACCAGCCCCGGCAACATAGCAAAACCTATCTCTACAAAAAATTTAAAAAATCAGTTCCTGCCCACCCAGGGACGCCTTGGGTTGTGTTTAACCCGTTTCTGTTGCCGGGTGCGGTGGCTTACGCCTCTAATCCCAACACTTTGAGAGTCCGAGGTGGGTGGATCACTTGAGGCCGGGAGTTCGAGAGCAGCCTGGGCAATGTGGTGAAACCCCATCTCTACTGAAGATACAAAAATAAGCTGGGCGTGGTGGCGCACGCCTGTAATCCTGGCTACTGGGGAGGCTGAGGCAGGAAAATTACATGAACCCACAAGGCAGAGGTTGCAGTGAGTAGAGACTGCACCACTGTACTCAAGCTGGGTGACAGAGTGAAACTATGTCTCAAAAAAAAAAAAAATTAGCTGGGTGTGGTGGCGTGAGCCTGTGGTTCCAGCTACTCAGGAGGCTGAGGTGGGAAGATTGCTTGAATCAAAAATTCAAGGCTGCAGTGAGCAGTGATGCCACTTCATTCCAGTCTGGACGACAGAGCAAGAGCCTGTTTCAAAAACAACAACAACAACGAAACGCTTCTTCAAATGACCTGGTGATGGATGTATGAAATTTCTTGAGAATGAAATGAAACTTTTTGTTACACATTCATAGGTAACAATTAATTGTTTAAGTGGCTGGAGATGCTGTATTGGACTTGCCCCAAACAGTAGAAGGAAGGAATATCCCCTGTCAATGTACAGACATGAACTATTCCATTGCTTTAGGAGATTCCCAGTGTGTTTCAGATAACACACTAAAATGCTAGATCATCATTGAATTTAGCCTTTGTAAAGCAATTATTCTCTGCAGCAAAAACTAAAGTACTTGTAAAAGGCCAAAAATGAAGTCTGTTTGAGAATTAAACTGGAATCACTTTTACCTAGAACAAGATGCATACACCTAAGCCAAGGAAGTCAGTTTTCATCTGCTAGGTGCAGTCTGCAAATGCAGCAGGAGGTTCCCTTATGTTCAAATTTTTAAAGTATTAATAGGGTATGTATGCCAGTTGGCAACCTGGAATAAACAGTGTGGAAGAAACAGCCAAAGAACCCATTTTTTTATACAAGGTACACATACTTGAGCTGCTTCTACAACCATGTTAAACAGCCTATAACCTATCTGGACCTATTTGCAGAACACCATCAGTGGGATTTAAGCATTTTGTTGGAGAGTTAGTTTGTGATTTTACGTGAAGTGACCAATTGCCCATGCAGTGAACATTCTCTGTCATATTCCTTGGTTATCAGGAAGCTTCACTTTATTCAGAAAATAAAAGCCCTATCAACTTCTGAAAAGTCGGGTTTTACTTCAGCCATAAAGTCTAATACTGTAGAGTCAGTTCTGCTTACTCATGAGGATGTCAATAGTTTCTTTTAGATACAGTTTTTTAAAACGTAGCTCAAAAAAGAATTCAGACAAAGCTGATCACACGCCTGTAGTCCCAGCTACTCAGAAGGCTGAAAGAGGAGATTCCCTTGAACCCAGTAATTCAAGCCCAGCCTGGGCAATACAGTGAGACCCCCATCTCTTTAAAAAAGAAATAATAAGGAAATACACTCCTCTCACTCCAGACCTACATATCAAACTGCCTATTTGACATCCCTACTTGAATGTTCACAGGAATCTCAAGCTTTAGATGTCCAAAACTGAACTCTACTTTCCCTACAAACCTGCTTCTTTGGTCTTCCTCTTCTCAGTAAATGACATCTCCACCCACCCATATATTCCTGCCAAAATCCAGGGAATCATCTTTGATATCCCCCCTCCCTCACCCCCCACATCCAATCAATCACCAACTCCTCCCACCTCCAAGATATATCTTGATTCATCTAAATGCTTCTTAGAACATAAATACTGGGGTAATTTCTAGGTAGTTATTCACTTTCAACCATGCAACACATTAATGGCACATGTACATTTCTAGGACTGGGAAATATAACAGTGATCAAAATAGGCAAGGTCTCTGGTCTCATGGAGCTGACATTCTAGTGGCAGAGACAAACGACAGACAAATAGATATGTAATATAATTTTAGGAAGTGATAGGAAGAAAAAGATAAAATGCTACACATAGGATATGTGCTATAGGACAGTCAGAGAAAACTCTTCAAGGAAATAACTTTTTGAGTAGTGCCCTGAAGAAAGTAAGAGAGAAAACCATATACTTAGCTTAGGGAAGACTTTACAAGGCAAAGGGTACACCTGAGGCAGGAGCGTGATTTGTGCTTACAATGAAAAATGGAGTCCAGTGTGGCTAAAGTGAAGGAAAGCAAGTATAATAGATCATACCTGAGAGGTAGCCAGTAATGAGCTTACTCAGGGTCTTGTAAACTGTGGTTGGCACTCTACTTTTATTATCAAAGTCATGAGAAACCATGGAAGGGTTTTGAGCAGAGGAAGAACATGACCTGACTTTAAGTGGAAGATAATGGATGCTGTGTGGACGGTGGACTGTGGGAGGACATCAGGGAGATGAGTTAAAAGGGCACTGTCAAGAAAAGACTTTTTTTTTTTTTTTGAGACAGGATCTCGCTCTGTTGCCCAGGCTAGAGTACGGTGGCACAATCACAACTAACTGCAGCCTTAACCTCCTGGGCTCAAGTGATCCTCCCACCCTCAGCCTCCCAAGTAGTTGGGACCACAGGTGTGCACCACCACACCTGGCTGATTTTTGTATTTTTTGTACAGGTGGGGTTTCACCATGTTGCCCAACCTGGTCTTGAACTCCTCAGCTCAAGTAATCTGCCTGCCTCGGCCTCCCAAAGTGCTGGGATTACAAGCGTGAGCCACCGCGACAGGCCATGAATTGACTATTTTTTTAGCCTTTCTTGGTTAATTTATTCTGAGAAGATAAATCTACAAAGAGGGTGTTATTTACATGTGGTCATGTGACTTTGCTTATTTTTCCTAGAAGGATATTTTTCTGCAAAGAAAAATCGTGCTCTAATGACAATAAGGGATCATTCAAAATTAAACAAGAAAGACTTGAATTAATATTATTGATAATATTTCCAGTAAAGACTCAGACTAGCGTTTTCATCCAATGCAATATTTTTTCCTTTATTTTCCACCCCTTTCTGAAGTTCTGGAATGAGATTTTGATTAGCTACTGCAGGTGGCGTTTGTCCATAACGTCACAGGATCCTTTGGGTGTCTCTTTGCCAGCCGGAAAGCTCTGCGGTTGGTAGCACCTCTGCTACCATGCCCTCTGGGCTTGTTCCGCCCACGTGGCCCAGCAGGCTGCACTCCACTTGCACTACCAGCCCAGATCTCATGCCTGCCAAGGGTGAGCCATGCACAGAGCAGTGAGGGGTGTGTGAGTGAGTGAGCATGGAGTCTGGCCACTGTGTACAGCCAAGCACGCTGGCTGCTGCAGCAGGGTGAGCAGCTCCAGGCACCAGCACAAGCACTGGCTCCATGCGAGGCTGCGGCTGGACAAGATGTACTGCAGGTGGCTTCCACTGCAGGCACCAGCGTCTGGATGAGGGGAACATAGTGGCGCCTGAAAGTTCAGAGACACCAGGAACCGCAGAACCCCAAAGAGGGTGTTACAGCATGTCACAGCCCCAGCTCGAAACCCTGAGGTCTGGGCTCCCAGAAGGGCCACAGCTCTTTTCTCCTTCTTGTCACCCACAGCTTGGGGAGTTGAGGGGCATGTTTCAGCCCATTTGTGTTAACAGCTCTTTCAGTGCTGCCACTCTGCTCCAGCCTGCGGCTCCTGGACTGGCCCAGCCCCACCACTGCTTCCCATTGTGTGGGGCAGCTGCCCAGTGCCGGCAGAAGACAGGAAGGCTATAGGGTTACAGCTCTGGCTTGGGAAATCCTGAGGTCTGGAACCCCAGAAGGGTTGTCACTCTTCACTCCCACAGTCTGGGAGAGTGTCACTTGCCTGCAGCTCGGTGAGCCAACCAGAAAAGTGTTACAGCCCCTTTAGCTCCCACCCACAGCCACAGCTCCTTTCACTCCCACCATTTGGCAGGTCCCAAGTTCTTGTCCCACTTGCAGGAAGAACGAGGTTATGCGGGCAACTGGAGGGTGAGCAAGGTGGAGAAGAGCTTTATTGGGAGATCAAACAGCTCTCAGTGGAGAGGAGACCTGAAGTGGGTATCTCCTATCCTCAGGGAGGCAGTCCTGACCAGAGTCTGAGTATAGCTGAGTCCAGGGTTTTTATGGGCTCAGCATGGAGTAAGTGCATGCTGACTGGTCCATGGGCAGGAGGAAGTGCATGCTGACTGGTCCATGGGCAGGCCTGGAAAAAGGCGCCTGGCCTATCCAGCCACTTTTAAGGTTCTTTTAGCTGCTAAGTTTATAATTGTCCCACTTAGTTTGCAGGAGTTGCAGTTCAAGAGAATAATTATTGAAAGAATACAGAAGAGTCAGGGTTTTCAGATTAAGGTTCAATTTAGAAATATTGAAAACCTAAGAAAACGTTTAGGAAAGTGTCTCTGTCCTGTGGCTCTTTGGGGCCTTTTCATTTGTTGCAGTGGCTCTCAGTTATTTGATATTTCCTTACTCCATAAGAGCTGCCTCAGAATAATCACTTTCTCATGCCAGGGCTGAGAGTTCTCAGGCTCTCAGACTCAGTACAATTGCTTAAAAGTCACACTTCAAAAATAGTAACACATAATTAGATAGTACCTCTGTAGGAGGGGTTTTTCTGTTTAACTAATTTATATCCTTGATGTTTTGGCTACTGTAGTAGACATTTGCTACTTGGGGCTCCCCAGCATCAGTTTTTCCTTCTCTTAGTAATAAATAGCATAGGAGAAACAAGTGGAGCCAGAGGAGGTAATACAGAACAGCAAGCCAGCTCATCAGAATGAACTCATCACCACTGGTAACATTGTGGCCAGGCACAGCCCCTAAGTCAGCTAGTCACATTTGAAGAACTTCCCTTTGAATTTTTTTTTTTTTTTTTTTTTTTTTTTGGAGAAAGAGTCTTGCTTTCTCACCCAGGATGGAGTGCAGTGGTGCAATTTCAGCTCACTGCAACCTCCGCCTCCTGGGTTCAAGCAATTCTCATGCCTCAGCCTCCTGAGTAGCTGGAATTACAGATGTGGACCACCACACCTGGCTAATTTTTGTATTTTTAGTAGAGGCAGGGTTTTGCCATGTTGGTCAGGCTGGTCTCTAATGCCTGGCCTCAAGTGATCCACCCACCTTGGCCTCCCAAAGTGCTGGGGTTACAGATGTGAACCACTGTGCCCAGCCCCCTTTTATTTTTTCTATTTTATTTTTATTTTCATTTTTATTTTGAGATGGAGTCTCGCTGTGTCACCTAGGCTGGAGTGCTGTGGCCCAATCTCAGATCACTGCAACCTCCGCCTCCCAGGTTCAAGTGATTCTCCTGCCTCAGCCTCCTGAGTAGTTGGGATTACAGGTGACCACCACCACGCCTGGCTAATTTTTGTATTTTTAATAGAGACAGGGTTCCATCATGTTGGCCAGGCTGGTCTCGAACTCCTGACCTAGTGATCTGCTGGTCTTGGCCTCCCAAAGTGCTGGGATTACAGACATGAGCCACCACTCCCAGCCTCCTTTTGATATTTGAGTGAAGAAATACTCTCCTATTGGTCATAAACAGAGCATGTAGCTAAGGGAACCAACTACTGGCAGCCGTTTCACAGCAGAAAGATCCCTATGAAGACAGGAATCAAACAGCAAGGAAGAGTTACTAAGATGTGGTAAACAGGATACCAGGTCATGGTCACATTCTTTGAACAACCAGATCGACTTCTCCCTACAGCTATCTCTGCCTCTAGACTTAGTCACATGATTCAGTAAATTCCCTTTATCATTTAAGCTAGTTTGACTGGCCAGTTTATTTCTCTAAATCAAAGGTATCCTAACTGATTTGTTGGTTGTCAACTTTGCATTATACCACCCACTTGTAATATCTCTGCCTTGAAGAGGAAAAACCAGGAACATTTCCTAGAATCCCCTTCCCGTTATGATCCCAAGTTAGGATATGCCAGTGAGAGGTGCTGTTTTAGTCCCTTTTGCCTGCTGTGACAAAATGACACAGACTGGGTAGCTTATAAACAACAGAAATTTATTTCCCACACTTCTGGAGGCTGGAAAGTCCAAGATCAGGGTATTGGTAGATTCTGTGTCTGGTGAGGGCTCATTTTCTGATTCATCGATGGCACCTTCTCAGGGGTCCTCACATGCGGAATTGATAACGCAGATCTCTGGGATCTCTTTTATAAGGGCACTAATCCCATTCATGAGGGTTCTGCCTTCATAATCTAACCACCTATCAAAGGCCCCATTTCTAGTACCGTTACCTTAGGGGTTAGGATTTCAACATGACCTCTGGGGAGATACATTCAGCCCATAGCAGGTACTCACAATAGAATAAGAAGGCAAAGCAAGGAAGCTTTTATTCTCAGGATGTGGAAGCATCACCCACTTCTCCCAGTAAGTTGTGGCCGTTTTCAATTTCTCAATTTCTCCACCAGCTCCCACTTTGCAGTTGTGTCAGCCAATCACGACAGCTTCCCAGACTTCCGTGCAAGTGCCTGCTTTGAGGCCAAGGTGGCCATAAATGGCAGCTCCTCAGGCTCCTCCACAATCTCTGGTTTCTTATGTTTCTCCATGAGCTCAGCTTTTTCATCAACTCCAATGCTTCAAGCCGAAGTCATTAGTGAATGTTCTACAATCCTTCAGCTGCAGCTCCAGACCTTCACTCCTCCAGCTTCTCCTACATCCATCTAACCCTCAATTCCTACATTAAATCTCTTTATTCCAGAATACTTGCAGTGACTTTGTTTTCTCACTATACCCAGTTATTAGTAAGATAAGTAGTTTCCAGGAAGCTACACTTTAAGGATAAAAATTTTCTGATCCCATGGGATTTAAAGGTTTTAACGACCTCATTGCCAGTGATAATGGCATTGGTGGTCCATGGCATACAGTGGCAAAATAGTTACTACCTTGGATGACCAAGAAGTTGCTGCAATAGGATTATATAATGGAAATAAAGGGTACAAGGATTGTGGAGTGGGTTGACTATTTCAAAGTACACTGGAGAACTTAGAAAAAGAAAAAGATAAGCTCAAGGCCTTAAATTCCTACTTCAAGTCCTGGACAAGGAACCAGAATGTTTCTTATCTGCCTGGGAAAAAAAATCTTGGCCAGGCGTGGTGGCTCATGCCTGTAATCCCAGCACTTTGGGAGGCCAAGTGGGCAGATCATGAGGTCAAGAGATTGAGACCATCCTGACCAACATGGTGAAACCCCGTCTCTACTAAAAATACAAAAATTAGCTGGGCGTGGTGGCACACACCTGTAGTCCCAACTACTCAGGAGGCTGAGGCAGGAGAACCGCTTGAACCCAGGAGGCAGAGGTTGCAGTGAGCTGAGGTCTCGCCACTGCACTCCAGCCTGGGCTACAGAGCAAGACACTGTCTCAAAAAAAAAAAAGAAAGAAAGAAAATCTTGCCTCATGTAGCTACATGGTCAAGATTTTTGAAAATTGAACCCAAATTCTGACCATAAAGATGGCTGAATTATAAAGCAAATGGAATTAACTTGCATGATCTCTTAGGCTAAAGTTAAGGTATTGATCAGGAAACAGTGAAACTTTGGAAATTAGAGTTTAAACAAATTCCAATGAACCAGATGACCTTGAACCTCAAAATTCTGCCAAGCCTTCATTGTGAACATTCTTCCTCTACTGTGATAGACAGAATAATGGCCCCCAAAGATGTCCACATCCAAATCCATAAAGTCTGTGAATATATTTCTTTACATGGCAAGAGGGACATTTCAGATTCTTGATATGGAAAGATTATCCTAGATTATCCAGGTGGACCCAAGGTAATCATAAGGGTCCTTGTAAGAGGGGGACAGGAGGGCCAGGGTCAGATTACAGTTGGAGAGATTGAAGGTGCTGCACCACTGGCTTTGAAGATGAAGGGAGAAGGCCACGTGCCGAGGAATGCAGGTGGCCTCTGGAAGCTGGAAAAGGCAAGGAAAGAAATTCTCCCTAAAAATCTCCAGAATAACACAGCCCTGCTGACACCTTAATTTAGTCCAGTGAGACCTCTAGAACTACAAAATAATAAATGGGTTATTTTAAGCCACTAAATTTGTGGTAACTTGTTACAGCAGCAATAGAAATCTGGTCCATCTACTGCTGTAGAGATTAGTCTTTCCTTGCCTAAAGAACCTATAATGACCATTCCTGAAGTAGTTGCTTTGCAGAGAAACACTGATGCACCTTCAGACCCACACCTATCACCTCTCGTATCATTGCTTCTAGATGAATAACTAGACTTGAGACCAGATTCAAGTCCTTGATGACCCCAACAGAACAAGTGCATTGCATAACATTCTATAATGTTGACCATAGTTGAACACATTCAGAAAGCGATTTGTAAAGACTGCTAAAATATATTTTTTCAATGGGTACACAGTATTTGTTCATATGGACTGGAACATGAGAAGTAGCTTTTGGGTCTGCTGATAGCTTAACTTTATAGCCAACTGGCAGCCTAGGTAACATATAGCTTTATTTGTGGGGGCTGATTTTTTTCCCTTCATATTACACCATGGTTGTAAGATGATGATAATGATCCAGTAGAAAGAGAAAAACTGGTGATGTAGGGGTAGAAATAGGGGAATAATTGCAGAAGCCAAGTTCTTAAGTAGCTGAGAGGAGATGGAATCCAGCACACAAGGTGAAGCAGAGACAGTTCATGTGTTCTATAGGAAGGGAGGAAGCTTATGTGAACTGATGTAACTCAGTTAGTAGGTTTGGTGTTAAACATGATCAGTTCTGATTCCTTTCACTTTTCTCAGTCAGTTAAGAAATCTGTCATCAGCTGAGAGTGTGGACAAGGGAGGAGATTTAAGGGTATTAGAGAAAGACGAAGAGCAAATTCACTAGCTCCAGGGAATTTAAGGCTAATAAAGATGACAGAAAAAAGATAGGACCCACATAGAGCCTTGGTGAGTACTTGCCAAGACCAGCTCGGTCAGGGAGACCCTAACCGAGTGGCGCTAGAGGAATTAAAGACACACACACGGAAATATAGAGGTGTGAAGTGGGAAATCAGGGGTCTCACAGCCCTCAGAGCCCTGAACAGAGATTTACCCATGTATTTATTAACAACAAACCAGTCATTAGCATTGTTTCTGTAGATATTAAATTAACTAAAAGTATTCCGTATGGGAAACGAAGGGATGGGCCGAATTAAAGGAATAGGTTGGGCTAGTTAACTGCAGCAGGAGCATGTCCTTAAGGCACAGATTGCTCATGCTATTGTTTGTAGTTTAAGAACGCCTTTAAGCGGTTTTCCACCCTGGGCGGGCCAGGTGTTCCTTGCCCTCATTCCCCTAAACCCACAACCTTCCAGCGTGGGCGTTAGGGCCATTATGAACATGTTACAGTGCTGCAGAGATTTTGTTTATGGCCAGTTTTGGGGCCAGTTTATGGCCAGATTTTGGGGGGCTTGCTCCCAACAAGTACTATTAGAAATCTACCTCTAAGATCTGAGAGCCACTCCCTCCAGAAATCTCTGGCAGGATATCATTGATGTATCTTTTTAGATTCTGGTCATTTAAGCAGTTACAATCTATCTTATGATCTCTTCAACCCACTCTTATTTCTCCACCTTGATCCTGAGGACTCCTGAGAAACCCAGAAAGTTAATTATCTTTTGAATTGTGTGCCAAAGCATGACTCCCTTCTCTGAACTCTTCTCCTAACCAGATGTGGTCGCTAGCAGCCAATTTTACATGACCCCACCCCCACCTCCCTTGCCATTGCCAAGTCCAGCGGTGGACACCTGACCCAAACTGGTCAATTGGATATTTTTTTTTTTTTTTTTGAGATGGAGTCTCACTCTGTCGCCAGGCTGGATTACAGGCACATGCCACTATGCCCAGCTAATTTTTGGGGTTTTTTTGTTTTTTGTTTTTTGTTTTTTGTTTTTTGAGATGGAGTCTAGCTCTGTCGCCCAGGCTGGCGAGTGCAGTGGCACAATCCCGGCTCACAGCAAGCTCTGCCTCCCAGGTTCACGCCATTATCCTGCCTCAGCCTCGCAAGTAGCTGGGACTACAGGCGCCCGCCACCATGCCTGGCTAATTTTTTGTATTTTTAGTAGAGACGGGGGTTTCACCATGTTAACCAGGATGGTCTCGATCTCCTGACCTTGTGGTCCACCCGCCTCGGCCTCCCAAAGTGCTGGGATTACAGGCGTGAGCCACCGCACCCTGCCGATCAATTGGATTTTATGTTCTGGAATGGAAATTGGGATACTGGGTCTCTAAACAGTTGGCCAGAGGTGCTGGAGGTAGGAAGAAATTATATTATAGGACTGAGCAGCATTTTTCCACCATGTGAATTAAAGAAGCTGAGAACAGGCCAGGCGCAGTGGCTCACGCCTGTAATCCCAGCACTTTGGGAGGCCGAGGCAGGTGGATCACGAGGTCAGAAAATCAAGACCATCCTGGACAACATGGTGAAACCCGGTCTGTACTAAAAATACGAAAATTAGCTGGGCGTGCTGTCACGTGCCTCTAATCCCAGCTACTGGGGAGGGTGAGGCAGGAGAATCGCTTGAACCCGGGAGGCAGAGTGCAGTGAGCCGGGATCACGTCACTGCACTCCAGCCTGGCAACATAACCAGACTCTGTCTCAAAAAAAAAAAAAAAAGAAAGAAAGAAAAAGAAAAAAAAAAGAAATAAAAAGGAAAAACACAAATCACTCATAAGGTCATAAGACTACCTTCTGAATATAACTACTCTGAGCAGTTTTATGTATTTCACACCAGTTTTTTCCTTATGTGTTTGGTTTAAACAATGAAATTAGAGTACAAAATACAATTGCATATCCTGCTTTTCTCGTTAGATATTATGCCATACATATTTCCTATATTCCTTGCTGCATAGTCTTCATAGCTAAAATTATAATGGATGCCTAAAATTCTATTGAATATGGTATAAAAATAACACTGTGGTGATTATCTAGCACTCACCAGCTTGAAATTCCAAACTTAGAGAATATGGCTATTTTTGTCACTAGAGAAGGCCTCTTTGGTAGAATTAGAAATAGTTAATCAGACTACCATTTCATGCCTCCCTCAAGATTAATGTTCATCATCTTTTCCTTTTTTTGTGGATTAATCACTCTTTGATAAACAATTCAGCCTCCTAGTTACCCTCATGCAAGGAAAGCATCACTTTTTATGGCAGTTATAAAGGTCAGGCCATGGGAAAGAAAGGCTTCTCTTGTCCTTACAATTGTACATTACTAAATAAATGAATTAGTGTTTTGGATTTTGCAGTGGTGCCTTGTGAGTTTGATTGTGTGGTAGCACAATCTGAGAACTAGACTTTGGTCTGTGGTAGGCGTACTAAGATGCCACCCTGTGGCCCTTCTGGGGAGGCTGGCCAGCCCCTTTCATTCCAATCTCTGTCTTCTGAGCTTTGTCCTTGCTGACTATGGAAGACCTCCAAACTGAAACTGACAGAAGACAGCCAAACAATTGCAGATTAATTTGCAGAATGTAGCAGAGAAGAGGATACAGTAACCTCATCTGTATTCAGAGCTTCAAATACTGTCTCATACTGATAACTTTTAAGGTGTCGGATTTCTGCTCATTGTTATTCTCTGTCATTTCAGGTGTCTTCTATCACATACAGACTTGGCATTATCCTGATTTTCCTCCTTTCCTTCCTTCAACATTTTACTTAAAGCCCTCTTGATCAGTTTGGCATGTTTCTGGGAAAATGTGTTTTCCCATAGTCCTTTAGGGATTCACTCTGCCCCTAGCCAAGATTATCCAAAGATGTGATTCAGGAAACCAAACTCTATGCAGCTGTACATCTACATACCATACCCTTCTTCTTCCCTCCCATTGCCAATCTTCTACTGAAAACCCTGTTGAGAATGCTGTTTGTATTTCCAAGTACTTCATATTCTGGCCCAGCACCTCAAAATATTTAATATACATTCTAGGTTTCTTCCCTCAAAATTGGCCGGGCGCAGTGTCTCACACCTGTAATCCCAGCACTTTGGGAGGCCAAGGCAGGTGGATCACAAGGTCATGAGATCGAGACCATCCTGGCTAACACGGTGAAACCCTGTCTCTACTAAAAATAGAAAAAATTAGCCGGGCGAGGTGGCGGGTGCCTGTAGTCCCAGCTACTTGGGAGGCTGAGGCAGGAGAATGGCTTGAACCTGGGAGGCGGAGCTTGCTGTGAGCCGGGATTGTGCCACTGTACTCCAGCCTGGGCAAGAGAGCAAGACTCTGTCTCAAAAAAAAAAAAAAAAAAAAAATCGGTGAAAGCAGATAGTGTCCACCACATTTGATAAGACTGTAGACCAGGGGTCCCCAACTCCTGGGCCACAAACTGGTACTGGTCCACGCCTGTTAGGAATCGGGCTGCACAGGAGGAGGTGAGCGGCAGGTGAATGAGAATTACAGTCTGAGCTCCACCTCCTGTCAGATCAGCTGTGGCATTAGATGCTCACAGGAGCACGAACCCTACTGTGAACTGCTCATGTGAAGGATGTAGGTTGTGCACTGCTTATAGGAATTGAATGCCTGATGATCTGAGGTGGAGCTGAGGTGGTGACACTAGCGCTGGAGAGTGGCTGCAAATACAGATTAACATTAGCAGAGAGGTTTGACGGCAGAGACCATAATAAATTAGTTGTTTGCAGACTCATATCAAAACCTTATCAGCAAGTGACAATTAAGCTTCATCTAGTGGCAAGCTTTAAAGTGGCAGATGAGTCGATGTACTTCAATTGTACAGCTGCATCTGGTGGCAGGCTTTAAGTCAGAATCTGACGTTTATTTTAGTCCATGTGTGGCCTGCCCTTTATTTGATTTACCACTTCTGTCTTTGCCTCTTTCCATCACTGTGCACTTGTCTCAGTCACAGTTTTGCTAAGCCCACAAGCTAGCCCTAGCCAAAATGAGAAAAAGCAAATGTCACTGGAGAGCTTCTTTTATTTTTATTTATTTATTTATTTATTTATTTATTTATTTATTTGAGATGGAGTCTCGCTGTGTCGCCCAGGCTGGAGTGCAGCGGCGCCATCTCGGCTCACTGCAACAAGCGATTCTCCTGCCTCAGCCTCCTGAGTAGCCAGGATTACAGGTGTGCGCCACCACACCTGGCTACTTTTTGTATTTTTAGTAGAGACGGGGTTTCACCATATTGGTCAGGCTGGTCTCAAACTCCAGACCTCGTGATCCACCCGCCTCAGCCTCCCAAAGTGCTGGGATTACAGGCATGAGCCGCCACACCCGGCCAAGAGCTTCCTTAAAAAGGGGAAAGACCCAATAATGAGACAGCAGAAGACTGCCAACAAAAAGAAAGGTGCATTTAAAAGAAAATGCCAAGAGTCCTACTTAAATTACAGGTTCATTGCAACAGGCGATTCACATTCTCCAAGCCTGCCTTGTATAATATGTGGCAACCGGCTATCCAGCAAAGCCATGAAACCTTCAAAACTTCTTTGCCACATGGAGACCAAGCACCCTGCACTAAAAGACAAGCCTTTGGATTTTTTTTTTTTTTTTTTTGAGAGGGAGTCTCCCTCTGTCACCCAGGCTGGAGTGCATTGGCACAATCTCGGCTCACTGTAACATCCGCCTCTCGTGGTCAAGTGATTCTCCTCCTCAGCCTCCCGAGTAACTGGGATTACAGGCACACGCCACCACGCCCAGCTAATTTTTGTATTTTTAGTAGAGACGGGGTTTCACCATGTTGGCCAGGCTGGTCTCGAACTCCTGACCTCAGGTGATCCACCCACCTTGGCTTCCCAAAGTGCTGGGATTACAGGCATGAGCCACCGCGCCCGGCCAGCCTTTGGCATTTTTTCAAAAGAAAAAAACAGGCCTGGTGCGGTGGCTCATGCCTGTAATTCCAGCACTTTGGGAGGCTGAGGCAGGTGGATCATCTGAGGTCAGGAGTTCAAGACCAGCCTGGCCAACATGGCGAAACCCTGTCTCTACTAAAAAATACAAAAATTAGCCAGGTGTGGTGGTGGGCGCCTGTAATCCCAGCTTCTTAGGAGGCTGAGGCAGGGAGAATTGCCTGAACCCGGGAGGCTGAGGTTGCAGTGAGCTAAGATCATGCCACTGCACTCCAGCCTGGGCAACAGAGCGAGACTCCATCTCAGAAAAAAAAAAAAAGAAAAAAAGTGAACACAAAGAACAAAAGCAATTATTGAAGGCCACCACTTCATCAAATGTGTCTGCACTGAGAGCATCATTCTTAGTGGCTAACCACATTGCAAAAGCTAAGAAGCCCTTTGCTATTGGTGAAGAGTTGATCCTGCCTCCTGCTAAAGACATTTGCCGTTAGTTTTTAGGAGAGGCTGCAGAGGCACTAGATGAATTGATGAAATAGCAGAGGATATTGAGGCACGATTGTCAAGATTAGTGAGTCACCATGGTATGCCATCCAGATTGATGAGTCTACTGATATTGACAACAAGGCAACAATGCTTGTTTTTGTGTGATATTTTTTCAGGAGGATGTGCATGAGAATATGTTATATGCACTTTTGTTGCCAACCAACACCACAGCTGCAGAACTATTCAAGTCTTTGAATAATTACATATCAGGAAAACTGAATTGGTCATCTTGTGTTGGTATATGCATGGACTGAGCGGCTGCCATGACTGGAGAGCTTTCTGGTTTCACTACTTGGGTGAAAGAGATCACCTTTTTTTTTTTTTTTTTTTTTTTGAGATGGAGTTTCACTGTTGTTGCCCAAGCTGGAGTGCAATGGCCTGACCTCGGCTCACTGCAACCTCTGCCTCCCAGATTCAAGCGATTCTCCTGCCTTAGCCTCCCTAGTAGCTGGGATTACAGGCATGCACCACCATGCCCTGCTAATTTCGTATTTTTAGTAGAGATGAGGTTTCTCCATGTTGGTCAGGATGATCTCGAACTCCCGACCTCAGGTGATCCACCCGCCTTGGCCTCCCAAAGTGCTGGGAATTCAGGCATTAGCCACCGTCCCCAGCCATGAGGTCACTTCTG
Source organism: Homo sapiens (assembly GCF_000001405.40). Lineage (NCBI taxonomy): Eukaryota > Metazoa > Chordata > Mammalia > Primates > Hominidae > Homo > Homo sapiens. The sequence continues at coordinate 82,392,287 of NC_000004.12, forward strand.
AATATGAGTCTACACACTGTGTCATCCATAGAGAAATGCTGGCTAGCCAAAAAATGTCACCTGAACTTAACAACGTTTTGCAGGATGTGATTAAAATTATCAGCCACATTAAAGTACATGCCCTTAACTCATCTGTTCATGCAGGTCTGCAAGGAGACGGATGCAGAGCACACACGTCTTCTCTTATACACAGAGGTGAGATGGATTTCTAAAGGTAGCTCACTGGCCAGAGTTTTTGGGTTACAAGAGCTGCTCCAGGTATTTCTTTTAGAAAAACGATCACCACTGGCAGCACATTTCAGTGACACAGAATGGGTCACAAAACTTGTTTACTTGTGTGACATATCAACCTGGTCAACAAACTCAATCTGTCACTTCAGGGGAAAACGACAACTTTGTTCAAGTCAGCAGATAAGGTGGCTGCATTCAAAACCAAACTGGAATTATGGGGCCGACAAGTGAACATTGGGATTTCTGACACGTTTCAAACATTAGCAGAGATTTTGAAAGAGGCTGAGCCAGGGCCTTCTTTCTCCCAGCTGGTGCGTAATCACCTCTCTCAGCTTTCAAAAGAGTTTGAGGCCAGGCGCGGTGGCTCACACCTGTAATCCCAGAACTTTCAGAGGCTGAGGCAGGCAGATCACCTGAGTTCAGGAGTTCGAGACCAGCCTGGCCAACATTGTGAAATCCTATCTCTACTAAAAATACAAAAATTAGCTGGGTGTGTTGGTGCGTGCCTGTAGGCCTAGCTACTCAGGAGGCTGAGGCAGGAGAATCACTTGAACCTAGGAGGCAGAGATTGCAATGAGCTGAGATTGCACCACTGTACTCCAGCCTGGGCGATTTCCACTTCTTGGCTATTATGAATAATGCTACTATGAACATTCATGTACAGGTTTTTGTGTAGACTTTCATTTTTCTTGTAGCTCTGTGAGGAGATGGATGCAGAGCATCCATGTATAATAATTTGGCCTCGTCCCTGGTTCCTGGGGAGAGACTCTAAATCCTTGTAATATCTGAAGTAATAGGAGTATCTTTGTTTTTCATGAGACTCTCAGATCACACCTGAGTTTACACTAATGAGGTGATGGAGCAAGATTCTGTCTCAAACATAAACAAACAAACAAAAAGGAAAAAAAAAACAGTATGTTTGAGTCAACTTCAAATCTCCATATGTTCTGGATTAAAGTCAAGGTGGATTATCCTGAGATTGCCACAAAAGTACTGGAAAGCCTGCTTCCATTTCCAGCGTCCTATCTTTGTGAAGCAGGGTTTTCTGCAGTGACAGCAACCAGAACGAGATTACGGAGTAGACTGGACATAAGCAACACACTTCGGGTGTCACTGTCCCTGGTGCCAAAAAGGTTGGGGATCGCTGCTGTAGACCATAGATCACTTTCCAGCTAAAGGCTCAGGAAGATGGCATACCTCCCTGTGGGCTACAGCAGAGACCAAGGCTGCCTTCATGCTCTTCCTCAGGAAGTTGCCAACATCACTACATCATTCAGTTCACAAACAGTTCATTGTGACCTCTTGTGTGTTGCAAACAGCATGATAGGCCTAGCACATAGTATAGCCCATCTCTTCTTCCTGGGTTTAAGTCAGTCTCCTTCTACTGTCTACCACTGTGTTATATTATTTTGTACTATATATATTTTTTTTGAGACAGAATCTTGCTATGTTGCCCAGGCTTGTCTTGTACTCTTGGGCTCAAGGGGTCCTCCTGCTTTAGGTCCCCAGTAGCTGAGATAAGAGGACCATACCCAGTTTATGTATTCTCATTTTTACTTTAAAAGTATTTTATTTATTTTATTTTATTTTTGAGACAGGGCCACTCCTATCATCCAGGCTGGAGTGAAGTGGCTTAATCACGTTTTACTGCAGCCTCAACTTCCCAGGTTCAGGAAACTCTCCCACCTCAGCCTCCTGAGTAGCTGGGGCTACAGGTGTGTGCCACCATGCCAGGATAATTTTTGTAGAAGCAGAGTCCCACTCTGTGGCCCAGGTTGGTCTTGAATTCCCAGGCTCAAGCAATCTTCCCACCTTGGCCTCCCAAAGTGTTGGGATTATAGGTGTCAGCCACCACACCAGACCTAAAATAATTTTAAAACACACAAGTACTATATGAATACAATTTAATTCTAAAAATCCAGACACACAGAAATATATACAGTAACAAAAGAGAGTCCTCTACACTCCACCCCCAAGCACTTTCACTCTGAAAATAGGCATATAAAGTTTAGAGTGTTACCACCATTCCTGAATTCTGCCACCAAGATCTTCTGGTCAGCTTTCTCTGTTTCTCTGTTTCTCTGTTTCTCTCTCTCTCTTTCTCTCTCTCTTTCCCTCTCTCTTTCCAATCTCTCTCTCTTTAAGAGACAGAGTCTCACTCCATAGGCTCAGCTGGAGTGTAGTAGCGCAATCATGGTTCACTGTAGTCTACATTTCTGACCACCTTCACTTCTGACCTACCGGCTATAAGTTTGGAAGCTCCCACATCCCCTTAAGGTCTGATAATTCACTAGAATGACACAGAACTCAGGAAAGCTCTATATTTGTGATTACGATTTTATTATAAAGGATACGTATCAGAACCAGCCAAATGAAGAGACACATGGGGAGAGGTCGGGGAGGGTCCCAAACACAGAGCTGCTGTGCTGTCTCTGGATGTGTCACCTTCTTGACACACTGACGTGTTCATAAACCAGGAAGCTCCACTGAGGTTCAGTATTCAGTATTGGTGTTCCATTAAGTAGGCATGATTAATTGAATCAACAGCCACAGGAATGGACTCAGACTCTTCCCCTCCCAGGACACTGGGTGATATCACATGCCTCAAAGCCCCAACTCTGTAATCACATGATCAGCCCCCTTCCTGAAGCTTTCTAAGGTGCCCAGCATGAGTCACCTCAGTGTAAACTCAGGTGTGATCTGAGAGCCTCATGAAAAACAAAGATACTCCTATTACTTCGGAAATTACAAGGATTTAGAGTCTCTCCCCAGGAACCACGGATGAGGCCAAATTCTCTATTATACAACAATAACCAAGAAAAATGAAAGTCTACACAGAAACCCGTGCATGAATGTTCATAGTAGCATTTATTCATAATAGCCAAGAAGTGGAAATAATCCACATGTCCATCAGCTAATGAATGGATAAGTAAAATAAGCTATATTCATATGTCTTGGAGGCCTCCAAGCTCACCCCTGTATTTGATGAGAGGACCCACAGGATGTAGTCATAGTCATGGTTAAGGTTTATAGCAGCAAAAGGATACAAAGCAAAATCAACTAAGGGCAAAGTCAAGAGGAAGCCAGGCACAGGCTTCCCAAGAGTCCTCTCCCAGTGGAGTCACCCAGGATGAGATTAAATCCCCCAGCAATGAATTGTAATAATTTGTGAAATGGTGTCTGCCAGGGAAACTCATTCGTGACTCAATGCCTAAGATTTTTATTGGGAGCTGATCATGTAGGCACCCTCTGCGTAGCATGTACCAAGATTGCAGACTCTAGGCGGAAAACAGGTGGATAGCACAAACCAGAGTTCATACAAATAGTTAAGGCAGAATAAACCATCCATATCAGTTAGGGAATGGTGGAAATCTCCCCAAATTCAAGGTCCCAGACACCAGTCAAGGGCCAATCTGGTAAGCAGGCTTCTCTTTTTATTTATTGATTGATTGATTTACTTATTTATTTATTTATTTATTTTTGAGATGGAGTCTCGCTCCCTCCCCCAGGCTTGAGTGCAGTGGTGCGATCTCGGCTCACTGCAAGCTCCGCCTCCCGGGTTCACGCCATTCTCCTGCCTCAGCCTCCCGAGTAGCTGGGACTTCAGGCGCCCGCCACCACACCCGGCTAATTTTTTGTATTTTTAGTAGAGACGGGGTTTCACCGTGCTAGCCAGGATGGTCTCGATCTCCTGACCTTGTGATCCGCCCCCTCGGCCTCTCAAAGTGCTGGGATTACAGGCGTGAGCCACCGCGCCCGGCCGGCCGTAAGCAGGCTTTTCTAAGGATAGCAGTCTCCAGCCTGCTGTGTTCATGCTTTTTTTTTCACACCATAGGATAGACTATTATTCAGTGATAAAAAGGAATAAAGTACTGATATGTACTCCAACATGGATGAAGCGGGGAACATCACGTTAAGTGAAAAAGCCAGTAACACAAGGCCACATATTGTATGATTCCATGTATATTAAATGCCCGGAAGCAAACCTATAAAGACGGAACAGACAGTAGTGGTTGCCTAGGGCTGGGACGTCAGAGAGAAATAAGGAGCAATTGCTAATAGGTAAAGAATTTCTTTTTGGGGCTATACAAATGTTCTGAAATTCATTGCAGTAATGGGTACACAGCTTTGTCAATACACTAAAAACCATACAATTTTACTCTTTAAATAAATTAATTGCATGAAATGTGAATTATAGCTCAAAAAAGCTGTTAAAAATAAAGAATGTGGCCGGGTGCGGTGACTCACGCCTGTAATCCCAGCACTTTGAGAGGGCGAGGCGGGTGGATCATGAGGTCAAGAGATTGAGACCATCCTGGCCAACATGATGAAACCCTGTCTCTACTAAAAATACAACAACAACAACAACAACAAAAAATTAGCTGAGTGTGATGGCGCGCGCCTGTAGTCCCAGCTACTCAGGAGGCTGAGGCAGGAGAATTGCTTGAACCCGGGAGGCAGAGGTTGCAGTGAGCCAAGATCACGCCACTGCACTCCAGCCTGGCGACAGAGCGAGACTCCGTCTTTAAATAAGTAAATAAATAAATAAAGGGGCCGGGCGCAGTGTTCATGCCTGTAATCCCAGCACTTTGGGAGGCCAAGGCAGGCAGATTACCTGACGTCAGGAGTTCGAGACTAGCCTGGCCAACACGGCAAAACCCCGCCTCTATCAGAAAATACAAAAATTAGCTGGGCGCGATGTCATGTGCCTGTGGTGCCAGCTACTCAGAGGCTGAGGCAAGAGAATCGCTTGAACCCAGGAGGCAGAGGTCGCAGTGAGCTGAGATCGCGCCACTGCACTCTAGCCTGGGCAACAGAGCGAGACACTGTCCCCACACCCTCCAAAAAACAAAAAAATAAAGAAAGAAAGAAAGAAGAGAAGCAGTTGCTCATTTTAGTATGTGCCTTTTTTTTTTTTTTTTTTTTTGCCTTTAGGAATATAAATTCAAGAATATTTGTAAGCAAAAAGGAAGAATAAAATCCCAAACGAGAATGTAGTTAGCTGAGGTATTATACTTCTTGGGTGAGCTTATAGAAATCTTCAATTGGATTATATAATTTTTATTCATAAAGTTTATATTTCCAAATGTTGAATCAGCTGTTGATTTTAAGCAATGTGTGTCACAACTGCTAATGACAGGAGTCACATCAGTGCTAGAAGAGAAAAAATGCACATATGTATTTGTGCTAATAGTTGTTATGCATGCCTCTATCCTTTTTTCTATACAATATACTGTACTACTAGCTAACATTAAAAGTCCTCCTTTAGAACAAAATATAGTAAATTAATAAGTCCCCAGAGGCCGGGCGTGGTAGCTCATATCTGTAATCCCAGCACTTTGGGAGGCCCAGGCAGGCAGATAACTTGAGCTCAGGAGTTCGAGACCAGCCCAGCCAACATGGGAAAACCCTGTCCCTACTAAAAATACAGAAATTAGGCTGGGCACAGTGGCTCACACTTGTAATCCCAGTACTTTGGGAGGCAGAGGCAGGCAGATCACAAGGTCAGGAGTTTGAGACCAGCCTGACCAACACAATGAAACCCCGTCTCTACTAAAAATACAAAAATTAGCTGGGTGTGGTAGCGGGCACCTGTAATCCCAGCTACTTGGGAGGCTGAGGCAGGAGAATCGCTTGTACCTGGGAGGTAGAGGTTCCAGTGAGCCAAGATCGCGCCTCTGCACTCCAGCCTGGGCAACAGAGCTAGACTCCATCTCAAAAAAAAAAAAATTAGCTGGGCATGGTGGTGGACACCTATAATCCCAGCTACTTGGGAGTTTGAGGTGGGAGAATAGCTTGAACCAGGTAAGCAGAGGTTGTAGTGAGCTGAGATCATGCCACTGCACTCCAGCCTGGGCAACAAACCAAGACGCTGTCTCAGAAAAAAAAAAAAAAAAGTCCCCAGAGACTTTAGCCATCTTAGCAGATCACCCTTGTGAACCCAAAAGGAAAGTGGAAATATGAGTTTTGAGTAGGTAAATTGATCTGCTGACATTACCAGCCCAGCATTCTCCAGGCTCTCCATTTCATGAAGAAAGACCTAGCCTTCCCTCTTGATGCTCACAGCAGAACTGCTGGGTAGGTTCTCCTATACACAAACTTCTGGGCATTCTTTTCTTCCCTTTGTTTCAGAAGTACCATTGTATATCCTTCACTGGCTCTGTGCTATATCCAAAGCAGTTTTTTCTGTTTCATTTTCCTGTGAAAAAAATTAAATTCCCGGTTTTTTGTTCTTTCTAACATCCCCCTTCTGCAACAGTCTCTTTATGACCCCAGATTCCCACAGCACTTTTTTTTTAATCCCAGCTATTTCTCCACATATCCAAAAATTATTTCTACCAACTGCTTCCCATTTTCTTAGTGCATGTCTTCCAGCTGTTGGCTTACCAAGAGAGATTTAGATAAACTAAAATACATTAAATATGTATATGATTGATATGCTCTTTAACTTTCTATTTTTAACTAAATTTCTATTTACCTTTTTTTTTTTTTTTTTTTAGACGGACCCTCGCTCTGTCCCCCAGGCTGGAGTGCAGTGGTGCGATCTCTGCTCACTGCAAGCTCCGCCTCCCAGGTTCACGCCATTCTCCTGCCTCAGCCTCCCAAGTAGCTGGGACTACAGGCGCCCGCCACCACGCTTAGCTAATTTTTTGTATTTTTTTAGTAGAGACGGGGTTTCACTGTGTCAGCCAGGATGGTGTCAATCTCCTGAGCTCATGATCTGCCTGCCTCAGCCTCCCAAAGTGTGGGATTATAGGCATGAGCTACCATGCCCGGCTGAGTAATATCTATTTTTAAGTTACTTATTTTTAAAATAAAAATGTCACATTGTAGAAAATTCATAAAATATGGGTTTTTTCCTTTTCTTTTGTCCTTTTTTTTTAATTGCTACTAAAAAGTAGTTCTCACCATTGTTTAAGTTTGAAAAATGCCCACACTTAATTATTTCTTTCTTTCTTTTTCTTTTTTTTTGAGTTGGGGTCGCCCAGGCTGGAGTACAGTGCCATGATCTCCCCATGATCTCCGCTCACTGCAACCTCTGCCTCCTGGGCTCAACCAATTTGCCAACCTCAACCTCCCAAGTAGCTGGGACCACAAGCGTGCACTGCCACACCTGGCTAATTTTTTGTATTTTGTATTTTTCACAGAGATGGGTTTCACTGTGTTGCCCAGGTTGGCCTCAAACTCCTGGGCTCAAGCGATCTGCCCGCCTTGGCCTCCCAAAGTGGCTGGGATTACAGGCATGAGCCACCACTCTAGGCCAAACAATTATTTCAATTATTCTTCCTGAGTAGAAAGTGAATGAGCAAATATTTGTGATACCTAACAGTCATTTCAGGAAGTCTAAAGATATTTGAAGGATAAAAAACATCTTAACATTTTTATTATTCTGAATTTAGGGCCTAATATAAAGGCAGAATGAAGAAGAATTGTCAGAAGATATAAGGTATGAACAGAAATTATAATTTTTAAAATCCAAGACCTCCGGGCACGGTGGCTCACACCGGTAATCCCAGCACTTTGGGAGGCTGAGGCGGGCGGGTCACTTGAGGTCAGGAGCTGGAGACCAGCCTGCCAACAGGGTGAAACCCCGTCTCTACTAAAAATACAAAAATTAGCCGGGTGTGGTGGTGCGCCCAGTGGTGTAATCCCAGCTACTTGGGGGGCCAAGGCAGGAGAATCACTTAAATCCGGGAGGTGGAGGTTGCCGTGAACCCAAATTGTGCCACTGCACAATTTGTGCCTGGTCAACAAAGGGAGACTCCGTCTCAAATTAAAAAAATAAAATTTATCTGGGCATGGCGGCACATGCTGGTAGCTCCAGCTACTGGAGAGGCTGAGGTGGGAGGATGGCTTGAACCTAGGAGGTCAAGGCTGCAGTGAGTGGAGACTGTACCACTGCATTCCAGCCTGGGTGACAGAGCGAGACCCTATCAAAACAAACAAAAACTCCAAAAGACAGTTATAGTTATTATACGTATTTAAAAACCACGTCAGTAGGGAACAGTTATTACTAGGAACTTAACTGAAAAGTGAGGAATTTTTGGTCAAAATTATTCCAGAGTATGCCAAGAAGTCTAGAGAATTAATAGAGTATTTTGGTGTTTCAAAAGGATAGCTGTTATCTGGTCACAGACTAACTTAGTCATTTTCCAAAAAGAAAATCCAAATTCTAATTTGACTTTTTTTATTTTAGAATATCATCCATGCAACAATTTTTAGTCAAGAATTTATCTGTTTTTAATAAATCTACTAACATTGATTTCACCTTAAAATTTTTTAACCATTTATAGATGATTCTTCAATTGATCTTAATATACATTTATATGTGTGTGTTTAGACATATATAATTACATGGCTATGTAAATAAGTTACAAAATTAAAGCTTTTAACTTTAAGATAAAATTAATCCAATCAGTATATTAAATAAATCAATGTATTTATACTTGAAATTATAATGTAAATATATCCAGAATTTATTTAATAAACTATATTATCTTGCATACATATTCATATTTCTCTGTAATTATTATGAGTATAGCCTTTATTGTTTTATTAATTATCACTTTTAGCCAAAGCAACCAACTTTTGTTTTTTGCATGGATGTCTAGAAGACAGTAAACCAAGAAATATCTACCTAATTTTTTTGGTACACATTTTAGACTATCTTCATAAATGTTAAGCTGGCAAAACAAACCAATATATGATATCATTCAAAGCATTTACACAGTTTATTTTTGCTTGTTTGTTTGCTTATTTTATTTTTTTATCAGATCCCCTATTCGGAAAAGCACATTTACACATCCTGTTTATAGTCATTTTATAACGTTATAAGAATAAGAATAGATCACATCTGTATTTAGTGACCAGAGGTTTTTTTTGTTTGTTTTGTTTTTGTTTTTAATCACTTGACACTTTATTGAATGCAAAACAAGATTTAGCATCTTTGCCTTCGTTGTACACAGCTGAAGCGTGAGCCCAGGGAGGGGAGGACTGTCTGGCTTTCCTTGGCGTGGGAGGTGTGCACCCTGCAGTCCTGTCAGTGTTGTGGGAACATCAGCCCATGTTCTATCGGTTGCCATAGCCCCAAGGATGGGTGTCCTTCCAGTCATCCCACTCCAGAGCTCTGTAGAGTGTTTGTTCATCATCCTCTTCCTCCTTTTCTTCTTGATGTTCCTATTGCTGAGCCGCTTTTCTGAATTCCTCTGGTGTTGCCTTGGCTATTTCCTGATCTCGTAATGCTCCATATTTCCGATGTTGCTCAACCAGTCACTCACCGTCATAGTTGCCAGACTTGGATAACCTGCTCCAAATACTTTGGCTTGGGCCGTGTTCTGAGTGAGAATGAAGGGTTTCACTGGAGGCCTCTCCTGGTGAGATGAGTTAGAAGTTGATGCCTCCTGAAGAGTCTCTTTCTCTCGGGATCTTTATTTCCTGGTCAATGTTCTCAATCTCTTCTAAGCTAATATCAATCCACCGCTGAAGGTGAAGAAGATAATATTCACAAACACGCTCATCATCTGCTTGACCACTTTCCACAGCAGGTTTCATTTCAGACAACCTATGCTCCAACTCCTTCTTCTGCTTGTATCTCTCTATTTTACCCTGTCTTCGAGATGCCATAGCAACGAGGCTAGAATAAGCCATGGAGGAATTAGCAGTGTGATTTTCGGCTGAGTTGTTCTTGGCTTTGGGCAGCTCAAACTCTGCCACATGATAGCAATGACACTGAGTTAAGTGGTTTATAAAGTGTTCTCGAGCCCGCTGCAAATGATCTAGACGCTTGCTGGAGTTGACTTGTTTCATGGTGAGGGCTCCTTGAAACACTGGCACCACCAGGTACTTCAGGTCGGTGGAAGCAATCTCTTCCAAATCTTCATTTCGGCTGAACAACTCGAGCTGCGATAACATTTCGGCAGCCTTCTCAAGGAGATCCATCCAGGCCCTTGAACACCTTCTCCTGGACTATCCGGGAATCGGCAGGTTCAGTCGCTACTTCTACTTCGTCCAGAATCTGTTTGCCGGTTTCCAGCAGCTCGGCGGGGGGCAGCGGGAGCAGTAGTTCGTCTTCAGCAGCCATCTTGGGGAGGGCTTTTTTTTACTTTTCTTTTTCTTTAAATTGCATTGAAGTGGTTCCTTTGAAGACATCACAAGTCTCAGAAGATTAAGATTTTTCCATCATATGCTATGACCAGAGTTTTGTATCATTTTTTAACTTAAAATTGTTCAAGTATCCAAAGATCATATATCAATTAATGTGTTTTATAAGTTCTTAAAGATTTAATAACTTGGAAATTAAAATTTTAATTAACACATTTTATAGTATTACAGGAATTTCACATAATCAAAACCTTTCAAAAGACATCTGTAATTACATTTTTATTTAATTAAACACCATATTATATTTCCAATCTTAAACAATTTTTGGAAATAATAAGTTATTTGACTCTTAAGCCCAATATAAAAATTTAGAAAGTTTAAAGCATTAGAAATTTAACTTCAGTATTATGAAAATTAAAATACAGTGTTAGCATTTTTACATAACAAAATACCATTTTTAACTTTTTCTGTTTAGAAATTTTTGATTATTTATGTGGACTAGATATTTCTAGAGTGCACACATGACAACAAAATGATTTTTTTTAAGTCAATTCACCTTTAAAATTTCTTGAGGGAGGATAGGAGGGAGAAAACAGGAAAAGAAAGTGAGAAGAATCCAGACACAGTGGCATGCACCTGTAGTCCCAGCTACTCAGGAGGCTGAAGCAGGAGGATCGCTTAAGGCCAGGGGTTCGCGGCTGTAGTGTACTGTAATCACACCTGTGGATAGCCACTGCACTCCAGCCTGGGTAACACAGTGCAACTCTGTCTCTTTAAAAAAAAGAAAGAAAAGAAAATAAAAGAAAAAGCAAGAGCCAGCTATAGATACATATACAATTATTGGAGAAAAGCTAATAATCTTTCTGCTCTAAGGAGAGGGAAGAAGTTTAGATATAGAAAAACCCATTTCAGGATACACTTGCACACACACAAGTTGTTACACCTGGTTGAAACAGTAACTTGGGCCCTTGACAATTTTGCCAACTCATAGAATAAAGCAGCCAATATTTATTAAACCCCTAAGAATGGAAATGAAGGATGTTTGGGGAGGGAGGGAGTCTTTCATTAAACTAAATGATCTCTCTTTTAGAAAGATAAGACAAAAAAGAAAAAACATTTAAAAAAGAGAAAAAAAATTTTAATAAAAAAGAAAAAGAATAGAGAAGACAGTACCCTCATGAGACTTGGGTTTTTTTCCTTTTTCATTCTAAGACATGTCTAAAATGAACAATCTTATTTGAGCCAAAGTTCTCCAGAGTAGCCTCTATAATTCACGGTCCTCTGTCAAGTTATGCCAGGAAGTAGTGCAAGTATCTTAGAGGCAAACCACAAGAGGTTGGCTGGTGGTCAAAAATAAAAATATTACTTTTATAAGTAATATAAAAGAAACTGTTTTAAAATAAATTCTCTCTCTTTTTAAAATACAAAACATAAAAGAAAAACTCATGAATTTGGGCCCTAACCCCAAGGATAAATTGCTCTGCCTGCTGACTCAAGAAATCAGCATGACCCTAAGGGACCAAAGAGATAATAAAAGTCCAGTTTCAATGCAAAACCCATGTAATCAAGGACAGAGAGGCCTAATGCAGGGGAGACTCAAGAAGTCTCAGATGCGCATATTATTACCAAGGGTTCTGGTTCACGGCACCGAGGATCTTGGCCATACCTCCATGATACTGTTCCAGCCCAATCAGCCTCAGACCATCAGGGACAAACCTGTAGTTGAAAGAAGTACGGTTTACTGACTTGCTGCAACAAGAGAGACTGCACATCAGAGAAACTATGAGATGTCTCACCAAACAGAAGAAAAGATAAGATAAGGGGCTGGGCATGGTGGCTCAAGCCTATAATCCCAGCACTTTGGGAGGCCAAGAAGGTCTGATCACTTGAGCCCAGGAGTTTGAGACCAGCATAGCAACGTGGTGAAACCCTGTCTCTACAGAAAATACAAAAATATTAGCCTGGTGTGCTGTCATGCGCCTGTGGTCCCAGCTACTCAGGAGGCTGAGGTGGGAGGATCACTTGAGCCCAGGAGGTGGAGGCTGCAGTGAGCTGTAATTGCACCATTGCACTCCAGCCTGGGCTACAGTGAGACCCTATGTCCAAAAAAAAAAAAAAAAAAAAAAAAGATAGGGACTGGGCATGGTGGCTCACACCTGTAATCCCAGCACTTTGGGAGGCCAAGGCAGGCAGATCATGAGGTCAAGAGATCAACACCATCCTGGCCAACATGGTGAAACCCTGTCTCTACTAAAAATACAAAAATTAGCAGGGCATGGTGGCACATGCCTGGAGTCCCAGCTACTCGGGAGGCTGAGGCAGGAGGATCACTTGAACCTGGGAGGCAGAGGCTGCAGTGAGCCCAGATCACACCACTGCACTCCAACCTGTCGACAAGAGGGAGACTCTGTCTCAAAAAAAGAAAAAAAGATAGGATTTGGGGAAGAGAGACATTTAGGTGAAAATTAAATAAAGCAGTATTTTGATAGGATCAAAGCAAAATAGGGTTGTATGTAAAGTGGGACAACATCAGATCTGGACTGCAAAGGAGAACAGGTTCCTGTTTCTTTTCTTTTTCTTTTCTTTTTTTTTTTTTTTTTTGAGACAGAGTGCAGTGGCACAACCTCGGCTCACTGCAGCCTCCGCCTCCTGGACTCAAGCTATCCTCCTGCCTCAGCCTCCTGAGTAGCTGGGACCACAGGTGCCTGCCACCACACCCAGCTAATTTTGTTATTTTTAGTAGAGACGGGGTTTTGCCATGTTGGTCTCGAACTCCTGACCTCAGGTGATCTGCCTGCCCCGGCCCCTCAAAGTGCTGGGATTACAGGGGTGAGCCACCACGCCTGGCCATGGTTCCCGTCTCTTTGGGTACTAGGAAGTTAAGGTGGAATGTTGTTTTCAGAAAGTCCTTCTCTGAAGCTTTGCACCTGGATTGGAAATCAAAGTTGCTTCTTTGTGCCTTAGATGTTCCAAGTAAGAGTGGGATATTTCATTTTTCCTGACATAATTTCCGTGGTTTCTGGTCTATCATTTCAGGGAACTAAGCTTCTCAGTCAGAGACAAAACAGTAGTCACACCAGCAAGGGGGTTGTTTTTATGCTTTACAGCTGCAGCATGTCCTTGAGAGAAACATTATTTCTCTTTAACTTTGCAGCTAACTTTATTTGTATGTGTCCTCCCAGATTCATGCATAGCGGGGCATATTTTTATTTTCTCAGTCCCAGCTAATTTATTTTCTCAGTTTTAAAGCCTGCAGAAATGGGCCAGGCACCGTGGCTCACTCCTGTAATGCCAGTACTTTGGGAGGCTGAGGTGGGCGGATCACTTGAGGTTAGGAGTTCGAGACCAGCCTGGCCGACATGGTGAAACCCTGTCTCTACTAAAAAGACACAATTAGCTGAGCGTGGCGGCAGGTGCCTGTAGTCCCAGCTTCTCAGGAGGCTGAGGCAGGAGAACCGCTGGGACCCGGGAGGCAGAGTTTGCAGTGAGCTGAGATCAAGCCATTGCACTCCAGCCTGGGTGACAGAGCGAGACTGTCTCAAAAAATAAAATAAAATAGCCTGCAGAAATGGTGAGATAGTGTTCTCTCTAACACCATTCAGGACAGAAAG